>NT_187675.1:0-282224 GCF_000001405.40 Homo sapiens
CACGACATGAGGCTCCATCCCACATGGCAGCGTTGGGTCCACACCTCTGCACACCTGCATGCTCTGGTCCATGGCGTGTCACACAGTCCTCTTCATTTCTCATTGCCACACTTCCTGGTGTACTTTACTGGGTCTTCATGTCTTCAGTTCAGAGTTCCGCACCTGGTTTAGGAACTAATTCAACGGGAGAAGATCAGAGTCCGACCAGGAAAAGATAAATGCACCGTGATGCCCTCACCTCCTGTGTGGACCCTATGAGCTCTTCCCTCCTTATCAGATGCTATCTGTGTAGTTTCTCCTGAAATATCACCACCTGGAATCAACACACTGGCATTTGAAGTCACGACCCAATGGTATGCTAATTCTGAAAAAGACATTTTTTGAAATGCTATGATTAGTGGCATTTACCAATTTCCTTGACGTAAATTCTTTTTTCATGGCCATAATCAAGATGCCAACGAGACATCCCTGAATGCAGGGTTGGGAAGCGTTGGACAGACTTGTCTTCACTCATAAGCACCAGGCATCTGATAGCTCACGTATACATCTTATTACCTTCCATTTTAGAGTGAATAATCATTTCTACTTCAGTATTTTGGCACAGGTAAAAGCAGTCCCATTACTGCGCGTATACCCAAAGGAATATAAATCATTCTATTGCAAAGATACATGCACACATGTGTTCATCGCAGCACTATTCACAATAGCAAAGACATAGAATCAACCCAAATGCCCATCAATGATAGACTGGATAAAGAAAATGTGAGACATATACACCACGGAATACTATGAAGCCATAAAAAGAAACAAGATCATGTCCTTTGCAGGGACATGGATGGAGCTGGAAACCATTATCCTCAGGAAACTAACACAGGAACAGGAAATCAAACGCTGCATGTTCTCACTTACAAGTGGGTGCTGAACAATGAGAATGCGTGAACACAGGGAGGGGAACAACACACACTGGGGCCTGTCGGGGGGGGGTGGGGTAGGGGTAGGGAGAGCATTAGGAAAAATAGCTAATGTATGCTGGGCTTAATACCTAGGTGATGGGTTGACAGGTGCAGGAAACCACCATGGCGCACATTGACCTATGCAATAAGCCCACACATTCTGCACATGTACCCCGGAACTTAAAATAAAAATAAAAATTAAAATTAAATTATGACACCATGATCCTAGCATATCCAAAAAAGACAAAAATGCCAATATCAAATGTCGGAGAAAATAGGGCTGAATTAAAAATCCAATACAACGCCGGGCGCAGTGGCTCACGCCTGTAATCCCAGCACTTTGGGAGGCCAAAGTGGGTGGATCACTTGAAGTCAGGAGTTTGAGACCAGCCTGGCCAAACGTGGTGAAACCCTGCCTCTACTAAAAATACAAAAATTAGCCGGGTGTGGTGGCACTCACCTGTAGTCCTAGCTACTAGGGAGGCTGAGGCAGGAGAATCACTTGAACCCGGGAGGCGGAGGTTGCAATGAGCTGAGATCATGCCACTGAACTCCAGCCTGGGTGACAGAGCGAGACTCCGTCTCAAAAAAAAAAAAAAAAAAAAAAACCCTCAAAAGCTCAGGCAGCAAAAGCAAAAATAGGCAAATGAGATCATAGCAAACTGCAAACCTTCTGCACAATCAAGGAAACAAACAGCAGAGTGAAGAGACCACCTACAGAATGGGAAAGAATATTTGCAAGCAAGAGATTAATCTCCAGAAAATACAAGGAGCTCAAACAATGCAGAGGTTTTGAAGGATGGTGATGAGAAGGTTCTGCTACTTACAGAAAGGAAGTTTAGGAGAAACAAAACCACAAACCTAGGTGGTGGGATGGCTTGATCTGCTTCTGTCTGTGACTCAGTTAACAGTCTTAAACACATCTCCCTAAGCCTCCTTCCCCCGGTGGGATTCCTGGGTCTTGTGAGGACCTCATCGGTCCCTCTGGTAAACCCAGGCACAGAGTGGAGCAGCTCTTGTTTTCTCAGGATCTTCCCCTTCACATACAATTAACGCACCCACACGATGCTACTCTTAGAACCCTTCAAATAAATGTTCCCCGGTTCATTCACTACCAGAATCCAAGCTCAGCTTGTTCCCCAGCTTAGGACTGAGTGGTATCTTGGAGGTAGTTTCCACCATAGCCCCCTTCCTCTGCTATAAGGCTCAGTGACACACCAGAGACACCCCCTCCAGCCAGGCTCCTGGAAGGTCTGGATGAAGACTGGGATGCTGAGGCATTGCTCAGCAATGTGGCTTAACTCAAACTTCTATGTGAAACTTCCAACCACTTTCAGCAAGGGGTCACTTCCAGCGTCTTGGGGTGTGAGGGCACCTTGGTTGGTCCCTGCAATATCAGACCCTATAAAGATCCTACAAACATGTTGCAGACTCTTTGAAGATTCTGGCACTTTCAGACATGCTGTTGGGAAATGGTGACACCCATAACCTTCTAGTTCCAGGACAGGGAGCCTTAGCCCAGGGCTATGTTTTCTGAGGGTCCTCAAAGTAAACAGTTCTATGTGCCAGGAGAACCCTAAATCTCATATGGTTCTAAGGGCAGAAAGCCACACACGCACCGGCAAAAAGCAAGAGATTCAAGGAAAAGCTGAGCAAAGACAGACAGGAAAACACACACATGATGAGCCAGCTTGTAGAGCTAGAACTGAGATGGAGAGAGGCACGAGTGGGTAACAGAGTGTGCTCCCCAGAACAGGTGGAGAGAATGCCTTTTTCATGCCCTGAGGATAGGCTGGGTAAGGCTTGTGCTCGACAGTCAAGGACTATTTTTTTCCCCAGGCGTCTACAAGAGACCTTCCTTCTCAGCTCAACTGTGCCCTGCAGTAAGTAATGATGGAGAGAATGTGACTTTGCTCTGCAGCTCTGGAAGCTCATTTGACCTGTGCCTTCTAACGAGGAAGGTAAGGCCCCTGGACACTGGCTCACTGGGGTGCAGAGACAGAGTGGGGCATTCAGGCCAACTTCTCTCTGGGTCTTGGGGCTGGTGATGGGACCTCTAGATGCTGCAGCTCTCTGTCGATGGCTCTGCCTGTGAGTGATCAGCCCTAGATGACCACTGTTACTGGGGGTAGCCCATGCCTGCTGCATGCCCTGTGAAACACTAAATCATATAGCCACGTCTGAGGGACAGCCTGCTGGAGACATGGGAATCTTAGGGATTCCAGACAAAATGAAGCAATGAGAAACACAAAGAGGAAAAGAGAGGTTGAGTATGACAGTGGTGTCAGGGTGTAGGGTGGTAGACAGGGCAGCTCCACACTCTCCACTGCTTCCTGTCTGGAGGCCCACTTTGGGGTCCTACTTATCCAGGTGAGTGAAGGAAGAGGTCAGGACAAACACAGGAGGTGAAGCCAGATACAGTGTGGGGAGATAAGCAGTGGCCTCAGCCTCTAGCCCTTTTCCATCTTCCAGAAGCCCCTCCTGAGCTCTCATCACAGACAGATTTCCCATTTGGAAACCCAGATATTTATCATGCCGGGGGGGGGAGGCAATGTCTCTTGATTATGGGGACTTTCCATCACCAGGCACCTGCTAGTCCTCTCTATACCTTCCCTTCAGGAAAGGAATTGTCCCTCATGGGATTCCAGGGAAGAGACCCCAGGACCCCTATCAGTCACTAGGGAGATGACAGAGTAGAGGAAGTCAGGGGACCAACCCTCCACAGAGAATGGTCCTACTTCAGTGGGGTGAGGGAAACTCTCACTCATCCATTTGCTGTCCTGTTACCTCGGAACCATAAGAGAACTTGTTAGTCACACACAGAATCTACCCCTGAATGTGGTGTGCAAAGTGGGGCTCTTAGCCTCCAGTGTGAAGTCCCTGGGAAGATGGAATGTCCCTGTGTGAGTGAAGGCTGTGCCACCGCCCAGCTATGTGGCCTTGGGCTAGGCAACCCCTCCCAGGTCCCCAGTTCCCCATCTGCATCGGAGACTGTGGCCAGTGTGGGAATCCACAAGGCCCTTCAGCCTCCAATGCTCTGGGACAGAGGCCTCGTCCACGGGGAGGAAGGGGTCAGAGTGACCTGAGTCCCTACTCAGGAGCGAGTCTAATCCACTCTCCATCGGGGCCTGTGGGGAAGGGAAGATGAAGAAACGGAGCCTGCACCTGGCTATGTGGGCGCAGTAGATTAAGGGGAGGATGAGGGTTCCTGAGAGTGTGTCATGTGGCAGAGACCCTGCAGCACACTCAGGAAGGGCTCTGGAAGGATCCAAGGAAATTTTCCAAGAAGAGGGCAGAGTAAGTGACAGAGACCCTCAACCATGGATTTCACTGAGGTGCCCATGATGACATAGGGAGAACGGGGGTGTCTGGGCAGGAAGAATATCGTCAGGGTGAAATGAATGGTGATGAGCTTCGTGTCAGAGCTCCTGTGGAGGGAGGGGCCTGGCCCACATGAAAAGGTCTCTGATCCTACCCCAGCCCCCAGCCCCTGTTCTCCAGGATGACACTGTGGGAATTCCATCAGGAGGGGTGTGATAGGGCTGGTCTTCCTGGCTCGATTCACAACACTGGCTGGGGACTGGGAACCCATGGGGAGCCACAGGTGGAAAGGGAGGAGCCTCAGTGAACCCAGCAGGAACAAACATAGGGTCTGACATGATGGAACTCACTTCCTGGAGGCCAAGAAAGACACTTGCGGGACAAAAGGGAAAGAGCGGTGGCTTGCTTAGTTCCATTCACTGACAACCCACAGGAGATGTCCAGTCCTTTTTTGATTTATTATTTTATTTTATTATATTTTATTTTATTTTATTTTATTTTGACATGGAGTTTTGCTCCTATTGGCCAGGCTGGAGTGCAATGGCACGATCTTGACTCACTGCAACCTCCACCTCTCAGGTTCAAGCGATTCTCCTGCCTCAGCCTCCTGCATAGCTGGGATTACAGGCGACTGCCACCACAGCCAGGTAATGTTTGTATTTTTAGTAGAGATGAGGTTTTGCCATCTTGGCCAGGCTGGTCTCAAACTCCTGATCTCATGTGATCCGCCTGTATCAGACTGCCAAAGTGTTGGGATTACAGGCGTGAGCCACCACACCCAGCCTTTTGTATTTTTAGTAGAGATGGGGTTTCACCATGTTGGTCAGGCTGGTCTTAAACTCCTGACCTCAGGTGATCCATCCACCTCGGCCACCCAAAGTGCTGGGAGTACAGATGTTAGCCACCGTACCCAGTGAGAGTTTCAGTGCTCTATCGGATTCCCTGCCTACTCCATGTTGCATGTAATGTTCCACCTCAGGGATGTTTCTCTCCTTTCTGTCTCCTTCCTCTTCTCCTTTTCCTTTTTTCTTTCTAATTTTTATTTTTTTGAGACAGAGCCTTGCTCTGTTACCCAGGCTAGAGTACAGTGGCACGATCCCAGCTCACTGCAACCTCTGCCTCCTGGGTTCAAGAGATTCTCCTGACTCAGCCTCTCGAGTAGCTGGGATTACAGGCACCCGCCATCACACCCAGCTAGTTTTTGTATTTTTAGTAGAGACGAGGTTTCACCATGTTGGCCAGACTGGTCTTGAACTCCTGCCCTCAGGTAATCCACCCGCCTGTGGCCCCCCAAAGTGCTGGGATTACAGGCGTGAGTCACCACTCCCAGCCCTGAATGATCTTTCCTCTTTAGTGTGTTCTCACAACCACCTCTCACTGAGCTTTCTTGTTTTTTGTTTTTGTTTTTGTTTTTGTTTTTGTTTTTGGCAGAGTCTGGCTTTGTTGCCTATGCTGGAGTGCAGTGGTGCAATCTCAGCTCACTGCAACCTCCGTCTCCTGGGTTCAAGCGATTCTCCCACCTCAGCCTCCTGAGTAGCTGGGATTACAGGCACCCACCACCACACCCAGCTAATTTTTGCATTTTTAGTAGACACAGGGTTTCACCATGTTGGTCAGGCTGGTCTCGAACTCCTGACCTTGTGATCTGCCAGCCTCAGCCTCCCAAAGTGCTGGAATTACAGGCATGAGCCACCACTCCCAGCCCTGGATTATCTTTCCTCTTTAGTGTGTTCTCACAACTACCTCTCACTGCTGGGTTTTCTCTCTTTCTTTTTTTTTTTTTTTTTTTTTTTTTTTTGAGACAGTCCGGCTTTGTTGCCCAGGCTGGAGTGCAGTGGCGCGATCTCGGCTCACTGCAAGCTCCACCTCCCAGGTTCAAGCGATTCTCCCACCTCAGCCTCCCTAGTAGCTGGGATTACAGGCGCATGCCAGCACACCCAGCTAGTTTTTGTATTTTTAGTAGAGACAGGGGTTTCACCATGTTGGTCAGGCTGGTCTTGAACTCCTGACCTTGTGATCTTCCTGCCTCGGCCTCCCAAAGTGCTGGGATTACAGGTGTAAGCCACTGCACCCAGCCAGCTTTCTCATTCTTATCCCTTAGTTCTCTGCCAGGGAATAAGATAGAAACCATTCCCTCAACCACATTCTAGTCATGGTCCCTATTCTCATGTTTCCACTTCTCTCTCTTTGGTAATAAATCAATTAATTGAGAAACAAGTAGCTAAATGTTCATCTTCTGCTAGTCTGCATCCCCTTATTTTCCCAGAGCCTCCCCTAATGAAACTGACTTTATTTACTGAACGCAGGAAATGGGTCTCTCCAGATCAGGATGACTTTCTGCTGGGAAATATTTGTCTTTGCATCAGTGGGGAAAAAGAAAGCCGATGTCATGAGTGGAGGCTCTGAGAAAATAAGGGCTGTGTTTTCAGTTTAGACCCAGCTAAGTTGGGAGCTGACATAGATATGATGTTGGGTCCACCCTCCACGGGCAGGTTTTCAGACAAAGGATCCCTGGCAATCAGGGGACACCTCAGGTCTGGGCTGAGATGTGTGCAGAGGGCCTGGGTCCTCCTGAGCCCCTGCACTGGGGGGGGAATAAGAGACAGGCCCAGCAAGGGGCTGTCCACTTCCTGTGGGTTCACAGCTGTGGGGACCCAGGCAGGCGGCAGCAGGCTCTGACTTAACCACATCCGTGCATCTGTCTGTCATGGAGGGCCATGTGGTCACCTGTCCCACAGCTGGAGCACGCAGAGCAGGCATCATGGTGTCCATCCTCACTGTTCTTCTGTGCCTCAGTCAGTGGTGGAGAGACGAGGGACAGGAGGGGCACTGGGCTGAGGTGGGGAGGGTCCCACAGCAGCCTTGTTCACCAGAGAGCCTCAGGGCTCCAGTGGCTACTGGTGCTCCAACAGGAAGGGAAGCAGCCACACCTCTGTGTTCCAAATCCCCCACAGGAAACTCTTCTCCATGGCTGAGTCTGGGCCAGAAAGCCCAAGCACTTGCAGGTGAGTCTCTGCTAACCTCCCATGCCTGACCTCACACTCAGCACCTGGACTCTCATCTCAGGGGCTTCTGAACTGAGGGTGAGAAAATCAAGAGGGTCTGTGACCTGAGCTGGGAATGAGGAGCGGGGGAGGTCTGTGGACCCCAGCCTGTGGTTTCTTCCAGGGACCCTCCCCAAACCCAGCCTCTGGGCTGAGCCAGGCTCTGTGATTACCTGGGAGAGCCCCATGACCCTCTGGTGCCAGGGGACCCTGGATACCCAGGGTTACTATCTCACCAAGGAAGGAAACCCCATGACCTGGTACCAACAGAGCCCACCAGAGCCCAGGAACAAGACCAACTTCTTCATCCCATCCATGAGAGAGCACCATGCAGGGAGATACCACTGTCACTATCTCAGCCCTGCAGGCTGGTCAGAGCGCAGCGAGCCCCTGGAGCTGGTGGTGACAGGTAAGAGGACACTCAGGGGTCCCAGCCCCAGGCTCTGCCTGCAGGAAGGGGGTCGGCTCTCAAGGGCATCTCCGTTCTAATAACTCAGCCCTGGGGGATGATGTGGGACGCGTGAGCCCCATTTAAGACAGTGTCTCCTTCTCTCCTAGGAGCCCACAGAAAACCCACTCTCTCAGCCCTGCCGAGCCCTGTGGTGACCTCAGGAGAGAACGTGACCATCCAGTGTAGCTCAAGGGTGGGATTTCACAGGTTCATTTTGATTGAGGAAGGAGAAAACAAGCTCTCCTGGATGCTGGACTCACAGGAACTCTCCAAGGGGCTGTCCCTTGTCCCTGGCCCTGTTCCCTGTGGGCCGTGTGGCTGCCAGTCACCGGTGGATGTTCAGATGCTATGGGCATTACACGAACTTCCCCTGGGTGTGGTCGGAACCCAGTGATACCATGGAGATCCTGGTCTTAGGTATGGATGTCTTCCTCCTTGCCCTATTTATTTTTGAGAACTTACTCTCACGGAGCCCCATGTAGGAGGGTGGAACAAGGGAAGTTTGGGACTCCTGAGCCCAGAGACACTGAGTATGAGAGACAGTGAGACCTGCAGGGCCAGGAGGGGAGAAGGAAGGGGTGTGGGAGGAACCAGCCCTCCTAGTCCCGACTCTTCTTTCCCTCCAGGCGTGTCTAGGAAGCCCTCCCTCCTGACCCTGCAGGGCCCTGTCGTGGCCCCTGGGGAGAATCTGACCCTCCAGTGTGGCTCTGATGTCGGCTATGACAAATTCACTCTGTACAAGGAGGGGGGACATGACCTCGTCCAGGGCTCTGGCCGGCAGCCCCAGGCTGGGCTCTCCCAGGCCAACTTCACCCTGGGCCCTGTGAGGGTCTCCCACGGGGGCCAGTACAGATGCTACGGTGCACACAACCTCTCCTCCGAGTGGTCGGCCCCCAGTGACCCCCTGAGCATCCTGATCGCAGGTGAGGAGCCCAGCAGGTTCAGTCAGGGACCCACGCTCCGCACAGGCCCTGCTGGGGGAGCCCAGGTGGTGATGGCCAGGATGAGGGGTGGGGGTCCCAAGGGAGGGAGAGACAGACAGAGACAGGGGATGGGTGGGTAGAGGGAGACTCAGAGAAAACAGAGACAGAGACTGAGGGTCCCAGAGAGAGGCCTGGGGAGGTGTCAGCTCAGAACGAGGTGGGGCAGCCCCTCACCCATCCTTCTTCTCTCCAGGACAGATCCGTGGCAGACCCTCCCTCTCGGTGCAGCCGGGCCCCACGGTGGCCTCAGGAGAGAACGTGACCCTGCTGTGTCAGTCACGGGAGCAGTTGGACACTTTCCTTCTGACCAAGGAGGGGGCAGCCCATCACCCACTGCGTCTGAGATCAGAGCACCAAGCTCAGCAGCACCAGGCTGAATTCCCCATGAGTCCTGTGACCTCAGCCCACGCGGGGACCTACAGGTGCTACAGCTCACGCAGATTCTTCCCCTACCTGCTGTCTCACCCCAGTGACCCCCTGGAGCTCGTGGTCTCAGGTGAGGCCGCTGACCCTGTCCTCTCTGAGCTCAAACCTCAGCTCAGGCCCTGCCCCCAGGAGAGCTCAGGACGCTAAGGAAAGAGGGGAGTAAAGGGGGAGGGTCGGCAGGGGAGGGCCCAGCCCATGAGAGGGTGGAAATAGTCAGGGACCTCCTAATCCTGGGCTCCCACCCCAGAGACCTCAGATGGGGCTAAAGGCCAGGGAGGGCTGAAATGAGATATGGAGAAACCTTGGAGGAATCATGCTTAGGCTGAGGGTAGAAGATGGAGGCGCCACCCACTCCCCACCTGGGCTCCCCTGGCGGCCCCAAAATACTCAGTGCATACCTGAGACGAAGGGGAGATCATGCACCTGCTCACTGCAGCAATGCAGGCAAATTATTCAACAGCAAACCTCGTGTGCAATTCCTTTCTGTCCTTTATTTTTTATGTCCACATATCTAGTTTCTCTTTCTGTTTCTGAAGATTTCAAAGCAATGCTGGCATTTATAATTTACACATTTAATTTGTTAGGTAGCGTTATGATGTAAAATAACTGTGCTCTGATTTTCTTTGGGATTAAATTAAATATGTGCATTCATGATGGAGAATAACTTCTCATTAATAATGTCTTTTTATCCAATACATTTAAAATTAAACTTTATACAGTTAGCAGATGCTTGAAGTTGTATTCATAAAAATTGTGGACATTGTGAATTTTAAGCATTGTTTTACTACTTGAATAATTTGAAAGTCTTTGATTCCTTTCTATTTTCTAAAATTAGTTACGTATGGATGAGAAAGCTATTGGTTTGGGTATGCTAATTTTAGTTCCTATTAACTTACCACAGACACACTCCCTTTCAATCCTTTCCGAAATGATCTCTTCTGATTTATTGATAATAATTACATTAACCACAAGAAAATGGAGGACAAACTTGTTTGTTTCTAAATTATATAATACTCTTCTCACTTCAAATATATATGTATGTGTTTATATATACTCACACACTATTATATATCTTATAATATATATTATGTATTATATATTTATATATACACTATTATATATCTTATATATTATGTATTATATATTTATATATACCCACACATTATTATATCTTATAATATATATTATGTATTATATATTTATATATACCCACACATTATTATATCTTATAATATATATTATGTATTATATATTTATATATGCACTATTATATATCTTATATGTTATGTATTATATATTTATATTACCCACACATTATTATATCTTATAATATATATTATGTATTATATATTTATATATACACACACTATTATATATCTTATTATATATTATGTACTATATATTTATATATACTATTATATATCTTATAATATATAATGTATTATATATTTATATATACACACACTATTATATATCTTATATATTATGTATTATATATTTATATATACATACTATTATATATCTTATAATATATTATGTATTATATATTTATATATATACACTATTATATATCTTATTATATATTATATATTTATATATGCACACACTATTACATATCTTATTATATATTTATATGTATACACACACTATTATATATCTTATTATATATTATGTACTATATATTTATATATACTATTATATATCTTATAATATATAATGTATTATATATTTATATATACACACACTATTATATATCTTATATATTATGTATTATATATTTATATATACATACTATTATATATCTTATAATATATTATGTATTATATATTTATATATACACACTATTATATATCTTATTATATATTATATATTTATATATGTACACACTATTACATATCTTATTATATATTTATATGTATACACACACTATTATATATCTTATATATTATATATTTATATATACTCACACTATATCTTATAATACATATTATGCATACACATATGCATAATACATATTATCTATACACATATGCATAATACATATTATGTATACACATATGCATAACACATATTATGTATACACACATATTTACACCTATGCATATATGTATGTATGTATGCGAATGTACCTCTGCCACAGCAGGGAAAGGTTCTATCACACAACTACAGAGCAGTTAGGAGAAGTGTAGACACAAAGGAATGCAGCAACTGAGGGACATGTTGGCTTAAGTCTCTTCAACTCCTCACACACCTCCCCCTTTTTTGGTTGATTCTCAGGAGCAGCTGAGACCCTCAGCCCATCGCAAAACAAGACAGACTCCAAGACTGGTGTGTAAGGAGATGCTCTCGGTTATGGGGCTGGCACAGAGGGTCAGGTCCTGTGAAGGGGAGGTGGGTGCCCTGGGTGGACATCCAGGGGTCCCGGGTGATGTTGATCTGCCCTGACCTCTGAGACCTCTTGGTCCACCATCCCCAGCCTCACACCCCCAGGATTACACAGTGGAGAATCTCATCCGCGTGGCTGTGGCTGGCTTGGTCCTGGTGGTCCTCGGGATTCTGCTGCTTTAGGATTGGCACAGCTAGAGAAGTCCCCAAGATGCAGCAAGGAGGTAAATACATGAGAGAACAATGCACCCTTCAGAGTGCCAGAGCCTTGGCAATGAGTCTGATAGTCCTAGGAGGTTCTGGAAGAAAGTCTGGACCATCATTCGGGAAACCGTCTACTGAGAAAGTCGAGAAGGGGAGGCTTGGGTCAGGTTCAGGGAGATGTCTGGGTGCCTGTAGAGAACGCTTCCTCCATTAAACTTCCATTAAATGGCAGTGCTTTCAGTCCAGCTGTTGTGGACCCTCCGTGTCTGCCCCTCCCTTCCTTTCGCTCTCTGTGATGTGAAGGCACGTCCCCCATGGTGGGTTTGCATCCACACCCCTGCGATCACGTGCTCTGGTCCACTGTCCTGTAATACATTTGTCTTTGTTTCCAACTACCGCATTCTCTAAAGTGAACTATTGATTCTCCATCTTTTCAGTTCTGAGCATAGATCTGGATTAAATAACTGGAATAGGTGGGCAGATTTGTATTTGGGACTTTGAAACATGAGTCTGAGGCCAGGCACAGTGGCTCACACCTGTAATCCCAGCACTTTGGGAGGCTGAGGTGGGCGGATCACTTGAGGTCAGAAGTTCGAGACCAACCTGGCCAACATGGTGAAACCCTGTCTCTACTAAAAGATACAAAAATTAGCTGGGTGTGGCAGTGAGCACCTGTAATCCCAGCTGCTCAGGAAGCTGAGGTGGGAGAATAGCTTGAACCCGGGAGGCGGAGGTTGCAGTGAGCCAAGATCTTGCCACTGCACTCCAGCCTGGGCAACAGAGCAAGACTCTATCTCCAAAAAAAAAAAAAAAAAGGGAAATATGAGTCTGAAATGATGCCCTAGCACCCTCTCTGGACCCTGAATTCCCTTCACTCTTCATCGGATGATACCTGTGTACTTCGTCCAGAAATATCATCTCTCAGAATGAGCACACTAACGCTCGAAGGCTCAGCCTCATGGTATTCTGTTAAACTGGCTCTCTGAAAAAATTATTTTCTTAAGAAAACTCTGAACATATAAAGCCCCAGATTTATGGTATTTGCTGATTAGTGTGGTATAAATACGTCCTTTATGGCCAACTTCAGGGTGCCCATATGACGCCATTGAATGCACAGTTGGGAAGTAGTCAAAAGAATTGTCGTTCACACGAGTATGAACCAGTTGTAAAGTTTATTTAAAGGTTATAATAATTTCTGCTTCATTCTTATGGTGTAGTTTCAGTAAAATTGTAATGTCAAAAATCATAGCACAATGGAGGGAAAAGAAAAAAATAGGCCGGGTGTGGTGGCTCATGCCTGTAATCCCAACACTTTGGGAGGCCGAGGCAGGAGGATCACCTGAGGTCAGGAGTTCGAGACCAGCCTGGCCAACATGGTGAAACCCTGTCTCTACTAAAAATACAAAAATTAGCCAGACATGGTGGCGCCTGCCTGTTAATCCCAGCTACTTGGGAGGCCAAGGCACGAGAATCGCATGAACCCAGGAGGCGGAGGTTGCAGTGAGCCGAGATCACTACAGCCTGGGTGATAGAGCAAGACTCAGTCTCAATAAAAGAAAAAAGTAGCAAAATCATTTTTTGGAAAGAATATTGAACATGTAGAATTTTAGTACATTAATAGTAAGAGTACAAATTGCTTTAATCAATTAAGGAAGTGTATTGGAATTATCTAGTTAAAAAGAGGAGGCACACGGCTGTGACCCTTCTTAATTATGTACTTAATTATGTACCCTAGAGATAAATGTCTACTTATGTGTCATGATACACTCACAACTGTTATAGGAATGCTGTTCCTATTAGCCAAAGCTATAAAATACCAAAGTCCACCTACGAAAAAAATAAACATAGTGTGGTAAATAGACTCAGTGGAATATTACAAGGTAGTAAAATGCATAAATGAAAATAACAAACAGCACCATACTTCAATTTTCAAGCATAAAGTCAAGTAAATGAAGTATTATTTGAAAATGTGTGCATGGTTATTTCATTACATAAAGGTCAAAAGGAGGGTACATTTATTATTTAGGAAAACACACCTAAGATATCTTTGTAAAATCTGTAAAATCAATAGTACTGTTTCCCCTCTTTCATTCCTTATCTTGAAAATGCTTGTCTCTTTTTCTGCCATGGCTTTCTACCTTGCTTGATATATTACAATTTTGTAACCTGCTTATTTCATCATATGTCATAAGTTCACATGTATATCCCATGAATTATTGAGGGTCTTATTCATTTCAAGTGGCATTTAGGTTTTTAAAAATATCTTTTGGCGACCAGGTGCAGTGGCTCATGCCTGTAATCCCAGCACTTTGGGAAGCCAAGGCAGGTGGATCACGAGTTCAAGAGACAGAGATCATCCTGGCAAACATGGTGAAACCCCGTCTCTACTAAAAATACAAAAAAAAAAAAAATTAGCTGGGCATGGTAGAGGGTGCCTGTAGTCCCAGCTTCTCAGGAGGCTGAGGCGGGAGAATGGCGTGAACCCGAGAGACGGAGGTTGCAGTGAGCCGAGATCGTGCCACTGCACTCCAGCCTGGCAACAGAGTGAGACTCTGTCTCAAAAAAAAAAAAAAAGAAAGAAAGAAAGGAAGAAAAAAAAATCTTCTGGCATTAACTATTAAGAAATTGCACTATAAAAAGAGAATATAATGCA
This sequence comes from Homo sapiens, assembly GCF_000001405.40. NCBI lineage: Eukaryota > Metazoa > Chordata > Mammalia > Primates > Hominidae > Homo > Homo sapiens. Next base: position 14,421 of record NT_187675.1, read on the forward strand.
TAAGACGGCAATTTGAAAAGATTCAGATATAATTTTTTCTTATCTAGTAAATACTTAGTAATTTGTCTAATGCATGCCTTAAATACATACCACTTTATGCAGAGGTTGCCATGAGCCGAGATCGCGCCGTTGCACTCTAGCCTGGGTGGCAGAGCAAGACTCCATCTCAAAAAAAAAAAAGAAAATCTCACAGAAGGAGACCCAGAGCTTCCAGCCTCGCCCAGAGTCTTGGCTCACTCCCTGTGTGTGTGGACCCTAGGGAGCCTCTTCTGTTCCCCACAGAGGTGGAAACTTCCTCCTTAATAACCCCTTGATGGTCCCAGGCACTGGTGACCACTGAGCTTTGCTCTCTCTTTTTTCTTATGGTTCCCTGTCTACTTCCAGGGCTATCACTTTACTTTTTGTGCATTAGACCATGAATAATGTTTTAGAAACATTCTATCAAATTTCTCAGTGCTAGGAACAACTGAGGTTTTTGATTGGGTGCCTCAAATGTCTACCCTTACTGTGGAGTCCGACAACAGGATTCTAACAAGTCCCAACCCCTTCATGCCTTAACCTGGTCTGGAAATAAATTATGTTTAAGCCATCCCATACCCCAGCCACATCAAGCCCCACAACCACTCTGAGAAGTGAGATTTATAGCAAAATGCTCCAAACAAGGTAACTAAGGTTCAGACAAGGGATGTTAATGTGTCCATTTACATAAACAAAAAATGGTAGATGATCAGCTTTCCCTTTGAAATCAGAGTACTAATCTGACTCATTGTTCCCTGAATTTTAGAGGCAGGACCTCAGGAGGAGCTAAGAATCCTACCCCAGGAAAATTACCAATATCAGAAAGGAAACAATGACATCAGTACAGATCCTACAGAATTCAAAAGATTCTAAGTGGACATTATGAAGACATTATTCAGCTTAGATGAAGTGGTCACATATCACAAGAAAACAAACTGTCTAAAACAATCTCTGAAATACCTAGACATTCCCTGAATCATTGAGTTATTAAATAAAATACATTTTAAAATTAAACTCTTTTCAGGAAATAAACTTCAATGTCCCCTAGTGCACTCTCCAAAACATGTAGATAGGAATAAATACTGTTCTGAAAGACATTTCCCTGGAATTACAACCATTCAATATATTTTAAAAGGCAATCATAAAAATATAAAAAGGATATATCAGGAGAAGAAATGTAAATGGCCTAAATTCCCCACATAAAAGGCATAGAGTGGCAACGTGGATAAAAAGCCAAGAGCCAACTGCCTGCTGTCTTCAAGAGACCCATCTCACATGTAATGACACCCACAGGCTCAAAGTAAAAGGATGAAGAAATATTTACTAGGCAACCAGGAAACAAAAAAAAGGAAGGCATTCCTATTCTTATATCACATGAAACACACTTTAAATCAACAGCAATCAGGAAGGACAAAGAAGGGCATTACAAAATGATAAAGGGTTCAATTTGACAGAAGACTTAACTATTCTAAATATATATGCACCCAAATTTGGAGCACTCCGATTCATAAAACAAGTTATTCTTCACCTATGAAAAGAGTTAGACAGCCACACAATAATAGTAAGGGACTTCAGTATCCCACTAACAACGTCAGATGAATCACTAAAACAGAAAACTAACAAAGAAATTCTGGTCTTAAAGACAACACTTGACCAATTGGACCTCATAGACATCTACAGAGTACTCCACCCAACAACTGCAGAATATAGATTCTTCTTATCTGCACACACAAAAAACATATCATATTCTAAGACTGGCCACAAAGCAAGTCTCAATAAATTCAAAGAATCAAAATCATAACAAGGCACACAATAAAAATAGAAAAAAATACCAAGATGATCTCTCAAAACTACAGAAAAACATGGAAATTTAACAACTTGTTTCTGAATGAATATTAAGAGCCATCTATGACAAATCCACAGCCAACATCATATTGAATGGTCAAAAGCTGGAACTGTACCCCTTGAGAACTCTTGGGTGAACAATGAAATTAAAGCAGAAATCACAAAACATTATTTAAAATTAATAAAAATAGAAACAAACTTACCAAAACCTTTGGGATGCAGTTAAAGCAGTGATAAGAGGAAAATTTATAGCAATACATGCCTCATCAGAAGTTTAGAAAGATCTCAAATTAGTGACTTAACACTGCATCTAGAGGAACTATTAAAAAAAAGGAACAGTCCAAACCCAAGGCCAGCAAAAGATGAGAAATAACTAAAGTCAGAGAGAACTGAATAAATTGAGACCAAAAAGTCCATACAAGAGATAAATAAAACCAAGAGTTTTTCTTTGAAAAAAAATAAACAAAATTCATAGACTGTTAGCTAGATTAACAAAGAAAAAGAGAAAAGATCCAAATAAACACAAATAGAACTGACAAAACAATGTTACGAACAATCCCACAGAAATAGAAAAGATCGTCAAAGACTATTATGAACACCTCTATACAAACAAGCTAGAAAACCTAGAAGAAATGGATAAATTCCTGGTAACACAAAATTTATCATATTTCAACCAGGAAGAAGGTGAAAACCTGAACAGACCAATAACAAGTTCAGAAATTTAATCAGTAATAAAAACCCTACTAACTAAAAATAGCCCAGGACCAGACGGATTCACAGCCAAAATCCAACAGCCATACAAAGAAGAACTGATACCGATCTTACTGAAACTTTTGGAAAAAATCAAGGAGTGGGGGCTTCTTCCTAACTCATTCTATGAAGCCATCATCACCATGATACCAACATCTGTCAGAGACATAATGAAAAAAAGAAAATTACATCTAAATATCCTTAATGAACATAGACATAAAATCCTCAACAAAATGCTAGCAAATTGAATCTGTCAGTGCATCAAAAGTTAATTCACATGATCAAGTAAGCTTTATTTTTGGGATGCAAGGTTGGTTCAACCTACAAAGTCAACGAATGTGATTCACCTCATAAACATAATTAAAAACAAAAACTATATGATCATCTCAATAGATGCAAAAAAAGCTTTCTGTAAAATCCAACATCCCTTCATGATAAAAACTGTCAATAGGCATCAAAGGAACATACCTCAAAATATTAAGAGCCATCTATGACAAACCCACAGCCAACATCATATTGATGGGCAAAAGCTGGAACCATACCCCTTGAGAACCGAAACAAGACCAAGATGACCACTCCCGCCATTTTAATTCAACATGGTACTGGAAGTCCTAGCCAAAGCAATCAGGCAAGAGAAGGAAATAAAAGGCATTAAAATTGGAAAAGAAGTAGTGATACTGTCTCTCTTTGCTGATGAAATAATTTTATACATAGAAAACCCTAAAGACTCTGTCAGAAGGCTCCTGAAACTGATAAACAAATTCAATAAAGTTTCGGGATTAAAAAAATGTACACAAATTAGTAACATTTCTATGCACCACTAACATTCTAGCTGAGAACTAAATCAAGAACACAATTCCATTTACACTAGCCACAAAGAAAATAAAATACCTAGGAATCCATCTAACCAAGAAGGTGAAAATTCTCTACAAGGAGAACTACAAAACACTTCTGAAAGAAATAAGAAATGATACAAACAAATGGAAGAATATTCCATGCTCATGAATTAGGAGAACAAATAGTTAAAATCGCCATACTTCCAAAAACAAATTGCAGAGTCAATGCTATCCATTTCAAAATGCAATGTCATTTTTCACGAAATTATAAAAATTTATTCTAAAATGTATTTGGCACCAAAAAAAGAGCCTGAATACACATAGGAATCCTAAGCACAAAGAACAAAGCCCAGGCATCACATTACCCAACTTCAAACTATACTACAATGCTATAGTAACCCAAACAGCATGATACTACTACAAAAACAGACACATAGACCAATGAGACAGAATAGAGAACCCAGAAATGAGGCTACATACCTACAATCATCTTTGAAAAAATTGACAAAAACAAGCAATGTGGAAAGTACCCTTTCTTCAATAAATAGTTCTGGGATAACTGACTACTCATATGCAAAATAATAGAACTGGACCCCTAACTCTCACTATATACAAAAATTAACCCAAGATAGTTTAAAGATTTAAATGTAAAACCTCAAAATATTAAAATTCTAGAAGAAAACCTAGGAAATATCCTTCTCAAGATAGACTTTGGCAAAGAATTTATGGCTAACTCCCCAAAACCAATTGTGACAAAGACAGAAATTGGGACCTAACTCAACTGAAGAGCTTCTGCACAGCAAACGAAAGTATCAACAGAGTAAACAGATAACCTACAGACTGGGAGAAAATATTTGCAAACTATGCATCTGACAAAGTTCTAATATCCAGAATCTATAAGGAATGTAAACAAATCAACAAGCAGAAAACCAAAAAACCTCAATTAAGTATGACATGAACAGACACTTCTCAAAAGAAGATGTACACATGGCCAAAAAACATATGAACAAATGCTTATTATCAGTAATCATCAGAGAAATGCAAATTAAAACCACAGTGAGATACCATCTCACAACAATCAGAGAAGCAGAAGCAATTACTAAAAAGTTTTTTGTTTTTTTTAATAACAGATGCTGACAAGATTGTGGAGAAAAGGGAACACTTATACACTCTTGGTGGGAATGTTAACTAGTTCAGCCAATGTGATAAGCAGTTTGGAGACTTCTCAAATAACTTAAAATAGAACTACTATTCAATCAAGCAATCCCACTACTGGGTATATACCAAAAGGAAGGTAATTAACTATGTCAAAAAGACACATGCACTAGTATATTCATTGCTGTGCAATTCAGAATAGCAAAGATTTGCAGTCAACCTAAGTGCTCACCAACAGTGGATTAGTTAAAGAAAATGTGCTACATATACACATGGAACATTACATGGCCATAAAAAATAATGAAATCATGTCCTTTGCAGCAACATGAATGTAGCAGGAGGTCAATCTCCTAAGTGAACTAACCCAGGAACAGAAAACCAAATACCACATGTTATCACTTATAACTGAGAACCAAACATTGAATACACATGAACATAAAGATGGAAACAACAGATACCGAGGACTACAGATGGGGGGAGGAGTAGGGAGGTATAGGCTGAAGAAACACCTGTTGGATTCTATGCTCATTGCCTGGGTGATGGCATTGTTGGAACCACAAACCTCAGAGTCACACAATATGCCTATGTAACAAACCTGCATGCATACCTTTAATCTACAGTAAAGGTTGAAGTTATTTAAAAATAGGAAGAAGAATTACCCTATACCTAAAGCTAAGATTTTTCCCTTTGAATATTCGTTTCTTCATCACTGTAGATAAGCAGGGAAAGAAAAATTATTATACTATACTAGCCTTTTATGTGACCATGAGGATTTGGGGTAGGTAGGTGGACAGCTTAGATAATTCACCAGGATATTGATACAGGCTCCATGGCTGGAAATAACCAAGGATGAGTGCTGTGTTTTGAGTGGTCTCCCCCAGAAACGTTTGTTGAAATCCTAACCCCTGGTATGTATGAATGTGAATTCATATTATATAAAAAGGAATAAATAGCCTGAGCACAGTGGCTCACACCTGTAATCCCAGCACTTTGGGAGGCCAAAGCAGGTGGATCATTTGAGGTCAGGAGTTCTGGCCAATATGGCAAAACTTCATCTCTACAAAAAAAAAATACAAAAAAAAAAATTGGCTGGGTATGGTGGCGCATGCCTGTAGTCCCAGCTACTCAGGAGGCTGAGGCAGGAATTGCTGAAACCTGGAAGGCAGAGGTTGCAGTGAGCCAAGATCATGCCACTGCACTCCAGCCTGGGTGAGACGGCAAGATATTCTGTCAAAAATAAATAAATAAAAAACAGAAGAAGAAATACAAGAATGACAGCAAACTTTGTATTCAAAACTATGAAAGTAAGAAACAGGTGGACCAACATTTTTAAAGTGCTACAAGAAAATATTTCAAACTAGAATCTTTCAACCTGAAAAGGAAAACATTTTCCTGCAATAAAGGTGCCATTAAAAATGTCTCACAATTTATTACATGAAGCATTGTTCTACAATAAATGTTAAGCTCTTGAAGCAAAGATTAATGATACCATTTAGTAACTTGAAATTCAAAAAAGTGGAAGTATCCCAAGAGGCAAATACGTGTGCAATTATTAAATGTTTCATATCAACACCCAACCTTATGCTGTCTACATAAGCTGCACTTCAAATACTAATCCACAAGATGTAAATATTGAAAGAATGACATTACCTTGTCATGATAATGCCCAGTGCAAAATATGCTTCTAGTCAGTTGTATACATAGAATAGGTAAATGTTTGTAATAAAAAGTATTCCTCAATAGAAGTTTCTTAACTCAAAGAATGAAATATTTCACCATGCACATACAAAGAAGAGATATATGGAGATATGAAGAGGAGTACTTCATAATGACAAAGAGGCAAATTCATAAATAAGACATAATCATCCTAAATGCCTACACACTTAAAGCTGGAACCTCAAAACACATTAAATTAAAGGCATAATTCAAAACATAATCAATCACATCCAAATTGCAGCTAGAGATAGCAACATTCACCTCACTTCCAGAACAAGTACACAGAAAATTATTAAGCATATGAAAGACTTGAAAAACATTTGTGTAGGCGGCGGGTGCATAAGGTTGGGTGTTGATATGAAACATTTAATAATTTCAATAATCCTAGCACTTTGGGAGGCCAAAATGGGAGGATCACTTGAGGCCAGGAGTTTGAGACCAGCCTGGGCACCATAGTGAGACCCCGTCTCTATTTTTTTTAAATAAAGAAAAACATTTGAATGATTTTTTTCTTAACTGACATTTAGAAAACATCCACCTCAAATCTTCCTAATCCACAAACTTGTCTAGCACCCCTGGAACATTCACCAAAATAAATTTTTAAATGCTGAATCATAGGTAATATGATAGATGAAACAGTTGAATTAAATTATAAATGTACAACAAGGAAATGCTGGGGAAATTATCAAATATTTTAAAATTAATAAACACACATAGCAATAAACAATGAGTGGAAGAAAAACATTTCAAAGAAAGGTGGAAAATATTTTGTATCAATTAAAAATGAAAACACATCTCGGCAAATGACTGGGGATACAGATAGAACAGCGTTAAGGGACAATAAGCCTCAAATGTCTGTGTTAGAAAAGAAGGAAGAGCTGAGTAAATAGGTAACTTTCACTTGCAGAAATACTACACATCAGCAAATTAATTCCAAAGTAACGTCGAGGAAAAACATAAAATGGCAAGCAAATATATACGTGCATATGTACATACATTCATAAATGACAAACAGGACAGAAAAATCAGTGACATCAATTTTGTTCCTTAGAAGAAACAGGAAAATTGACCCCAAAAAACTTTCCAGGCCACATTTGGTCATGATGGAAATATTTTGGCACTTCCTGGTTAAGCTCAACACCAACTTGCACCCAAAACCAATAATTTCATTTCTAGGTAAATATGTCTAATTAATTCAGCATATGTATGCAAGGGATCACACAGAAACACGATTATCAAGGCCCGAGTTATAAAAGAGAAAATCCGGAAACAACACAAATGTCCATGATAAAAAGAATGGATAATTACATGTTGATAAAGTTATGCATGGACTATTAAACTGCAATCCAAAAGAATAAAATAGAGCTATAAAATTCAATATGTATATGGTGTCATAGAAACACAAATGTGAGAAAAAGAAAGAAAAATACAAAATTTATATTTTTTAAAATTTGAAACAACTATATATGTGAGTGCTTAGGGTGTGTGTGTGTGTGTGTGTGTGTGTGTATAACCATATGTATATAAATGCACACATACGCACACATATAGAATGTCCCGGCCAGGCATGGTGGCTCACACCTGTAATCTCAGCACTTTGGGAGGCTGAAGTAGACAGATCACTTGAGGTTAGGAGTTCAAGACCAGCCTGGCCAACATGGAGAAACCTCCTCTCTACTAAAAGTACAAAAATTAGGTGGGCGTGGTGGTGGGTGCCTGTAAATCCAGCTACTTAGGAGGCTGAGGCACGAGAATTGCGTGAACCTGGGAGGTGGAGGCTGCAATGAGCCGAGGTCTCACCACTGCATTCCAAACTGGGTGACGAAGTGAGATTGCATCTCAAAAAAAAAAAAAGTTCTAAAAGTTGTGACTTGGGTGTGGCAGATTGTGACATACTGCCAGCTGCTAGAAATGCTGGGGCAGGAGGATTGCTTGAACTCTGAAGTCAAAGAACAGCCTGGGGAAAATAGCACATGAAGAAGAGTTTGAATCTCAGATAAAAACAACAAAAATACATCAAAAGTCTTTAATGTAAGCCAAGCATTCAGTCATCTCCTGTATGAGAGATTGGATCTGAGACGTGTTTTGAGTTGGTTATAGTGAAGGATGCAAGGTGTCAATTCTAGTTGGAACAATTTCCAGGAAGCCATGTTCTGCTCTTGACCAAACAGCCACTGGGCCTCATGCAAGGTAGAAATAGCCTGCATACGTCATCCTCCCATGATGTGGTCAGCATGTAAACTGCATGAGCCCCTCACAACATCCTGTGTGCTGCTGAACTGAGCTGGGGCGCAGCCGCCTGTCTGCACCGGCAGCACCATGTCGCTCATGGTCGTCAGCATGGCGTGTGTTGGTGAGTCCTGGAAGGGAATCGAGGGAGGGAGCGGTGGGGTGGAGATCTGGGCCTGGAGTGGAGATATGGGCCTGGAGTGGAGATATGGGCCTGGAGTGGAGATATAGGCCTGGAGTGGAGATATGGGCCTGGGGTGGAGATATGGGCCTGGAGTGGAGATATGGGCCTGGAACTGTAGATATGGGCCTGAAGTAGAGATATGGGCCTGGAGTAGAGATATGAGCCTGGAACTGTAGATATGGGCCTGGAGTGGAGATATTGGCTTGGAGTGCAGATATGGACCTGGAATTGAGATACGGGCCTGGAGGTGGAGATATGGGCCTAGAGTGGAGATATGGGCCTGGAGGTGGAGATATGGGCCTGGAACTGTAGATATGGGCCTGGAGTAGAGATATGGGCCTGGAGTGGAGATGTTGGCTTGGAGTGCAGATATGGGCCTGGAATGGAGACACGGGCCTGGAGGTGGAGATACAGGCCTGGAGGTGGAGATATGGGCCTGGAGTGTAGATATGGGCCTGGAGTAGAGATATAGGACAGAGGTGGAGATATAGGCCTGGAGTGGAGATATGGGCCTGGAGTAGAGATATAGGACGGAAGTGGAGATATGGGCCTGGAGTGGAGATATGGGCCTGGAGGTGATGTACAGATGGATCATCCATCATGATCTTTCTTTCCAGGGTTCTTCTTGCTGGAGGGGCCCTGGCCACATGTGGGTGAGTCCTTCCCCCAAACCTTAGGTTGTCATCTCCCCACATAAGATGATGTTCCTGAAACGGGAGGCAGGCGACACAGGGGGTTGACTGATGGGCTGACCATGGGAAGCCATGTGGGAATCTCTCATGAACTAGGAAAAGGAAGCCAGGGGAAGCTTCGCCACAGTTCTGTCCTAGCCCTCCCCGGCCTTTCTTTCCCTTGGCTGAGTCTGTGGGGACCCAGGGGGAGACTGAAGTGCTCAAAGGAGTGGTGTGCAGGGAGGAAGTGGTGTCACCGGCAGAGGAAGGGAGAGAAGCAGTGCAAGGAACAACAGGCCTCTGAGGACAAGAGCATAACTCACACCCTCCAGCGTTTCCATGACGGTAGGGGCTGCAATGTGGCTGCTGTCATTCTACCTAAGAGGTGGGGGAACCACAGTCATGACCCTGACATTCCAGATCTTCTAATAGGGGCTCAGTTGTTTATTATGGTTCATGCATTAGCTGATCATGCCCTCCATCCTGTGTCTACCTTGTGTTCTTTTATGTAAGTAATTTTGCAGTGTTAAAATCTAGTAAGAGTCGCTTCTTCAGCACCTGCTCAAAGTTCTCAGCTGACACTTGCTGTAGGGAGACGCCATGTCTATGCGGGATGGGTCCTTCCTGTAGCCCTGGGCACCCAGGTGTGGTAGGAGCCTTAGAAACGTGGAAATGGGAGAATCTTCTGAGCACAGGGAGGGAGGGGCGGCTCCACATCCTCCTCTCTAAGGTAGTGCCTCCTTCTCCCCCAGGTGGTCAGGACAAGCCCTTCCTCTCTGCCTGGCCCGGCACTGTGGTGTCTGAAGGACAACATGTGACTCTTCAGTGTCGCTCTCGTCTTGGGTTTAACGAATTCAGTCTGTCCAAAGAAGACGGGATGCCTGTCCCTGAGCTCTACAACAGAATATTCCGGAACAGCTTTCTCATGGGCCCTGTGACCCCAGCACATGCAGGGACCTACAGATGTTGCAGTTCACACCCACACTCCCCCACTGGGTGGTCGGCACCCAGCAACCCTGTGGTGATCATGGTCACAGGTCAGAGGCTTTCTGTCTGGGCTTCTCACTGTCCCACCTCCTGAATCCCAGAGCTTCTGGTGGGGGTGTCCATCAGGGTCCAATCATCCAGGCCCAGACTGTATTTGGGGTAAAGGGGGATTCAGTACAGAGAAATAGTTGCTGTGGTGGGAAGAATAATTGTCCCCAGTGATGGCTACATGGTAATCCATGAACCCTGTGACTATTTATGTCATAGGGCAGGGGACTGAAGGGGAAGATGGAGCTCAGGTTGTTGATGGGTTGACCTTGCGATGGGGAGACAGCCTGGACTGTCCTGCTGTGCTCAGAGTAATCACAAGGGTCCTCATGAGAGGAGGAGGAAGAGGAAAGTGGGGTTAGAGCAACGTCGTGGGAGGGAGACTCCATCAGCCACAGCGGGCTTTGAAGATGGGGGAAGGCCATGAGCCACAAAGGCAGTTGGCCTCTAAGGGCTGGAGAAGTCAAGGGAACTGATTCTTCCCTGAGTCTCCAGAGGAAACACAGCCCTGTAGATGCCTTGATTTTAGCCCAGAGAGAACTGGGTCCGATTTCTGTTCTCCAGAAGTGGAAGGGGTCATTGTATTCTCTCCTGCCCCATGTTTGTGACAATTTTCTCCAGCAGCAACAGGAAACCAACACAGGAACCCAGGTGAAGCACAAGTTAAGAAACCAAACAAGGAGAAGGTTGGCTACACTGATTTTAGCATGGGTGGGATACTGATGCTACCACCAGGCTCGATCCACATAGGGAGGGGTTGATGCTCCTGGAACCAGCACCAGGGGCCACCCTATGGAAGCTGGGGCCATGGAGAAGGCACAGACATGACAGGAGAGGCTCCCAATCCCCATCAGGAACAGGGACACTGATGCCTGCCTTACTGATGAGTTCGTACCTCCTGCCAGCCTTTCCAATCTGTCCAAAAGAGATTGATTCAGGCTGCTAAGAGCCTGGACATGCAGCCTGTCGTGGTTCCTCTTCCACCCCCACATAAACACCAGGAAAGAGATTAGTGGGAAACAGATACAACAGCATAAGAGGTGACACTGAGCACAGTGGGAAGGGAATCAGGGCTACTAGAGACAGAGAGACAGGGAAGAGGGAGGGAGACAGATGGAGGGACCTGCAACAGGGGTTATGGGCACAAAAGAACACGGAGACACAGAGAGGAAGGAGAGAGATAGACACCATGGAGGGGAAGCCTCACTTATTTCAGGTCCCATGAATGGGATGAGAAAGGGAGACGCCTTCTGAACTCACAACCTCTCTTCTTAGGAGTCCACAGAAAACCTTCCCTCCTGGCCCACCCAGGTCCCCTGGTGAAATCGGGAGAGACGGTCATCCTGCAATGTTGGTCAGATGTCAGGTTTGAGCGCTTCCTTCTGCACAGAGAGGGGATCACTGAGGACCCCTTGCGCCTCATTGGACAGCTCCACGATGCGGGTTCCCAGGTCAACTATTCCATGGGTCCCATGACACCTGCCCTTGCAGGGACCTACAGATGCTTTGGTTCTGTCACTCACTTACCCTATGAGTTGTCGGCTCCCAGTGACCCTCTGGACATCGTGGTCGTAGGTGAGAGAATACAGACCTGCCTCTCACCCTTGCTGGGAGATGGAGTGAATGATCTAGGACTGGAAGCCCCAGGTGGTCATGAGGAAGATGAGTGTGGGGTTCCTATGGAGAGAAAGTGACTTGGTGAGGTCTGTACCAACAAAGGCAGAGAAACAGGAGACACAAGTACAGACCTCATGTCATAACATAGAAGCCAGACACAGGGGCCATACAAGGTGTTAGAAAAAGAGATAAAGAGGTAAAGAAGACACAGAGAGACAGATATATCCCAGAGAGAGGTGTCCTTCTATGCTGACTTTGTTCAGAGACCAGGCACAGGTTAGAAGGTTCCATTCTGTTTTACCTCTACAAAGTGTTCTCTCCCAGGAGAACCCAAAGAGACACATCTATCTGGCCTGAGTTGGGCCGTGTGGCCCCAGGCTGGTGGCACCTACAGATGCTGTGTTTATTCTTAAACCTCTGCCTTCCGTGCAGTGGAGCTGTCGTCGTCGCAGGACACCATGGCCCCAGGTGAGGGAGCAGAACACCAACCCCTGTATGTTGTGAGTTCCTGGAGTCCCCATACTGGATTCTGAGGCTCATATTCAAATAGCACCACATGTTATAGGATTACTGAGAACAAAAGCCCACAGAGAGACACGGAGTGAAATCAGGGAAATCAAAAAGCAAAGACATGAACACACACACAGAATGAGCCAGAAGAAGGGAATTGAGAGACTCACAGACACATAAAGAGATAGAAAAAGAGGGCAGAGAAGTGGAGCGTATGATGGAAGGAAGCAGAGAAAAGCCCTAAAATCAGAGCCCTGAGGGAGGGGCACAAAGACAGGGAAAGATAAAGATGTGGGGATGGATTGCAGAGACTCCAAAAGGGAACTAGAGAGACTGAGAGGCAGAGAAAGACAAGGAGATGGAGAGAGACAGATGATAGATGGATAGATAGATATAGATAGATGAAAGATAAAAGGTAGATGATAGATAATAGAGAGACAGGTGATAGACAAATAGATGATGAATGACTGATAGATGATATAGATAGACAAGTAGAAAGACAGACAGATGATATATAAATAGATATAGAGAGATAGAAAGATAAACACATGATGATAGATGGATAGATGCATACATACATACATTGATTGATAGATGATAGATAACAGAGAGATAGGTCATAGATACACAGATGATGATAGATGATAGATACATACATAGATAAATGATAGATCGATCAATAGATAGTAGATAGAAATATGCAGAAAGTTATGAGCAAGACAGAAAGTGAGAGACTCAGAATTAAAGAAAGAGGAAGATCAAGTCAACCAGTCCAAGGAGGGTCAGAGAGAATAAAATGGTACAAAAAAAGAAAACATAGCTAGGGATGGAGAAGTGAGGTCAGAGACCTAGAGAGACAGAGAAGGTGGAAGGAGGAAATAGACATGAAGAGAGATGGGGGTGGAGGGTGAGAGAGAGAAAGAGAGCATTAAGTCATAGAGCAGGGGAGTGAGTTCTCAGCTCAGGTGTGAGGAGAGCTGTGACAACGAAGAACCTCCCTGAGGAAACCACCTCTTCTCCTTCCAGGTCTATATGGGAAACCTTCTCTCTCAGCCCAGCCGGGCCCCACGGTTCAGGCAGGAGAGAATGTGACCTTGTCCTGCAGCTCCCGGAGCTTGTTTGACATTTACCATCTATCCAGGGAGGCAGAGGCCGGTGAACTTAGGCTCACTGCGGTGCTGAGGGTCAATGGAACATTCCAGGCCAACTTCCCTCTGGGCCCTGTGACCCACGGAGGGAACTACAGATGCTTCGGCTCTTTCCGTGCCCTGCCCCACGCGTGGTCAGACCCGAGTGACCCACTGCCCGTTTCTGTCACAGGTGAGAAAACACCATGCCTGTCCCATGTCTTGTGATCCTAGAGCCATAGCTGAGGAGCTTCCTGCTGATGATGGAGAGAAGCATGGACAGATGCCGAGACAGAACACACAGCATGGGTGTAAGGGCGGGGTCAGGGGGCAGGATGGCAGACAGGGCACCTCCAAACCCTCCTGTATGGCCTGCAAGGAGGCCCTTGATCAGGGTTCCAGGCACCCAGGCAGATGGAGAAAGAGGTCAGAACAGACCCAGAGGAGGGAGACTGGGCTCTGCCTGGGGAGATCAGAGGTTCTCTCAGCCCCTCAACCTTACCCACTTCCCAGAAGCCCATCCTGGCCTGTCACCCACAGAGAGATGTCATCACCAGCAACGCCTACACCCTTTTCTTTTTGTTTGAAGAAATATTTATTGAGGTGAAATATACCTATGTAATTTACCACCTTTACCATTTTTAAGTGTGAAGTCTACTGTTCATAAATACATTTATAGGCTGGGCACGGTGGCTCACTGTTGTAATCCCAACACTTTGAGAGGCCAAGGCAGGTGGATCATTTGAGATCAGGGGCTCAAGACCACCCTGGCCAACATGGGGAAAATCCATCTGTACTAAAAATACAAAATAATAATAATAATGATAATAATTAGCCGAGCATGGTGGCACATGCCTGTAGTCCCAGCTACTTGGGAGGGTTGGGCAGGAGTTGCACTTAATTGCAGGAGGCGGAGGTTGCAGTGAGCTGAGATCATGCCACTGCACTGCAGCCTGGGCAACAGAGAGAGACACTCTCTCAAAATTAATTAATTAATTAATTAGTATTCTTTTTTTTTTACCCTCCACCCTTCCCTTCCTGGCCTCTGGTAGCCACCATTCTACTCTCTACCTTTGTGAGATCCACCTTTTAGCTCCTGCATATGAGTGAGAAATGGAAATACTTGTAATGACCTCCAGTTCCATTCATGTGGCTGTAAATGACAGGATGTTACTCTTTCTATGGATGAGTTGTCCCTATTGTGTGTGTGTACCACATTCTCTCCATCCATTCACCCACTGATGGGCAGGTAGGTTGATCCACATCTTGGCTACTGTGAACACTGCTGGAACAGTCATGGGAGTGCAGATGTCACTTCGATACGCTGATGTCCTTTCCTTTGGGTTTACACCCAGTCATGGAATTGCTAGATCCTCTGGAAGTGTCTTTTTACATTTTGTTTTATGGTTTTTGTTTTTGTTTTTGTTTTTTTTAGACAGTTTCACTCTTGTTGCCCAGGCTGGAGTGCAGTGGTGCCATCTGGGCTCACTGCAACCTCCACCTCCAGGATTCAAGAGATTCCCCAGCCTCAGCCTCCCAAGTAGCTGGGTTACTGGCTCCCACCACCACACTCGGCTAATTTTTATATTTTTAGTAGAGACAGAGTTTCGCTATATTGGCCAGGCTGCTCTTCAACTCCTGACCTCAAGTGACCTACCCACCTCGGCCTCCCAATGTGCTGGGATTACAGGCATGAACCACTGTGCCCGACCTCATTTTATTTTTTGAGGAACTTCCATACTCTTCTCCTCTGTAATGGCTGTACTAATTTGCATTCGTATCAGCAGTGTACCAGATGCAACCCTGGTTGACTCAGCAGAGCAAGAGACGTGCAGTAAGAGAGAATTTAGCTTATTTATGCACACGACACTTCCACTCACTCACTCGTTCAGCCAATGCCCCATGCTCTGGCTGTGCAGTGTGGAATCTTTTCCTATTGTTGCCATAACAAATTTCCACAAGCTTCGTGGATGAAAACATGTTTTTCTTAATTATCTCACAGTGCTGTAACTCAGAAGTATGAACTGCATTTCACTGGGCTGATATCAAAGGGACAGTAAGGCTGGATTTCTTTTTAAGGTTCCAAGCAAGAATCTGCTCCTTAACGTTTCCCAGCTCCTAGAGGCTCCCACGTTCCTGGGCCCCTGGTCCCCTTCCTCCTTCCTCCTTCCTCAAAGCCCACAAAGGCTGGTCACGTCTCACATGGCATCATTCAGACTCTTCTTCTTTACCCATACCTTTTTCTCTGAATCCTGCTCTGCCTTCTTCCTCATCTTTTAAGGACTTTGGGATTCTATTGGGGTCACCAAGATAATCCATCTCAATCTCCCTAAAATCATCCAGCGTACCCTCTTTTTAAGTTCAGCTGATTAGCAACCGTAATGCCATCTGCAATCTTCATTCCTCCTTTCCTGTAAAATAACATATTCACAAGCTATGGAGGCTAAGACAGGGACATTTTGGGGGTGGGGCAGCATTCTCCTGCCTTCCACAAATGGTAAACAGGATGCATTTGGCCTCTGCTCTTGGGACGCTGATATTGCAGATGGGTAAATGCGAGGGCAGAGAATGAATGCACAAGGGTACCAATAAATGAATGATCCATTGGGAAGCATCTGTGCACCAAATCTGGGGTTTTTTGTGTGTGTGTGTGTTTTTTGTTTTCTTTTTTTTTTTTGAGTAGAGTCTCTCTCTGTTCCACAGGCTGGAGTGCAGTAGCACAATCTCAGCTCATTGCAACCTCTGCCTCCTGGGTTCATGCAATTCTCCTGCCTCAGCCTACCGAGTAGCTGGGATTACAGCTGTGCGCCACCACACTCGGCTAATTTTTTTGGTATATTTTTTAGTAGAAATGAGGTTTCACCATGTTGTGCAGGCTGTCTCAAACTCCCAATCTCAAGTGATCCCACCGCCTTAGCGTCCCTAAGTGCAAAGATTACAGGCGAGAGCTACTGCGCCCAGCCAGGATTTAAAATAAGTAATAGATAATGCTGAGTATATAATTTCAGGTGACAGAGAAGGTCTCACTGATCAGATAATATTTGTGACCTTAATGGAAAAAATGGATTCAACCCTTGGAAGATTGGCGGAAGGATTTTCCACACTGAGCTCTCAGCCGTGAAGGCACAAAGGTGGAAACATTCTTAGTTCAAGGAAGAGGCTCTGCCTCAAATGCTGGGAATGAGATGGGGAGAATGACAAGACAACTGTAGAGAGATGGAGAGCACACTGGGTACACAGGAAACTAAGGAGGAACAAGGAGCATGTTTTTGATACTCACAGCCCTTGGATTCAACTCAGAGCTAACTAGGAATCCCTACCTGATTAACAGTGACCGACATGAAAATAAGGGAGGCCCAGGTGCGTAACTGGAATCTAGGAGACCGTGGAAAAGGCAATTCCCGCCCCACTGGTGAAACGTAGGGTTGATTTACACACTAAATGAATGAAAGATGGATATAAGCTATGCTTGTGAGGTAGAATCATTTGCAGGGAGGGCTTGCTGGGTTTGATTTTTCCTAGTAGTTTAATCCTTGTTTCATTAATTTCTTTCTGAGATGTGTTTTTTTTCTACATCTAAATCAATACCTGGCAGAGGAGCGATAGACACATGAGGGGTGGTGCAAATGAAGGGACCTAGTATAATATAATATACAAGACTGTGGATGGGGGCTCACACCTGTAACCCAACACTTTGGGAGGCCAAGGCGGGTAGATCACTTAAGGGTAGGAGTTTGAGACCAGCCTGGCCAACATGGTGAAACCCCGTCTGTACTAAAAATACAAAAATTAGCCTGGTGCATTGGCACCTGCCTGTAATCCCAGCGACTGGGGAGGCTGAAGCAGAAGAATGGCTTCAACCCTGGAGGCAGAGGTTGAACTGAGATCGCATCACTGCACTCCAGCCTGACACAGGGGGACTCTGTCTCAAAAAATAAAAATAAAACATACATAATTATGACACACAGAAATTACAAAGGCAACTGGATACCAACCATCATTTTTCTATTTCTCTGTGTTTAATTCTTTGACCCTTTATCTTATCCATTAAACAATCAGGTTAAACCTCTTCCTTATTTGGCTTTCTGTGAGCTTGGGATCATATGGAAAATGTGAAAGCCTCCTGAACCCACCAGCACAGGTCCTGGAATAGAGAACGTGCTCTGTTCATGGCATAAAACTTGCCCCTTCACCCAAATCCCCCAATTCATCTCTACTTCCAATCACCTATGGAGATACAGATAGATCATGGGGAGGTAAACACTAATACTCTTTGGAGTGAGCTCAGATCTTGGACTCAGAGACCAGTGCCAGCACTAGCCCCTGGTCACATTTCGTACTAACTCACAGAAGGACAGGCTGTATTGAAACAATAAACGACGGAGAGGGCGGTCCTTCCCCGTGCTTCTCGGGTGGAATAGCAGCCTAATATATGTCTCAGCAGATCACAAAAAGTAGCATGTTGTTCCTGGGCTACATCATTATTTCATGGCTGTTTGATTTAAGTCAGTTCTACTTCACTTTTTTTATCTTGATTTCATTTTTTCTTTCTTTTCTTGGAGAATGTAATTTTTTTGAGTCAAGAGGGTTGTGGTGGTAGAAACTGTAAAGCACATTCGCTGTGTATCAATCCCAATCCAGTCTTCCCAGAGAAGACTCTAAACACCTCCTGGAATGTACCTGGGCCTATACCAATTCCTATCACTCACCGTCACTCCAGGGAGACAGAACACACAGAGAACACATTACACAGGCAGGTTCATTACTAACAGATAAGCAGCGAGTGACAACAGAAGCCTACATTTCAATGTGAGCCAGTCCCTCAAGGCTCAGAAAAGCTGCTCGAGACATGTGGAGTCACCCCATATGCAGTGTATCTGGGGGAAATCAAAAAGCAGCCCAGCCTGGGTTTTGTACCCTGGAGCCACAGGAAGCACTCAGCTAAAGCACTGCATGACGTCCTCCTCCAGGAAGAACAGGAAGACAGCCCAGGCTGTTCTGGGATGTTCCTCCTGATCTCAGGACTTTGCTGTCTTAGTCCATTTTTGTTGCTCTAAAGGAACACTTGAGCCTGGGTAACTTCTAAAGAAAAGAAATGTGTTTGCCTCACAGTTCTGCAGGCTGTACTGGAAGCATGGCACCAGCATCTATTTCTTGTGACGGCCTCAGGCTGCTCCCGCTCTGGCAGAAGGGAAGGAGGGTCTATCTGTGCAGAGACCACAGAGATCACACGGCAAGAGAGGGAGCAAGGGGGAGGGGGAGCGATGGAGCTTCCAAGTTCTTTTTAACAACCAGCTCTCCAGGAACTAATAGAGGGGGAACTTGCTAACCCCATCTCCTTGGGACAGCATTGATCTGTTCATGATGGATCCACCTCCATGACCCAAACACCTCCCAAGAGGCCCAACCTCCCACCCTGGGGGTTACATTTCAATGTGAGGTTTGAAGTGGTCAAACATCTAAACTAAAGCAGTTGTATCCTCAGCACGTTCTATGGTTACTACAACTGAGAAAGCAGGAGGAAGCTAGGTCTCCCGCCATCTGGGTGCTTGTCCTAAAGAGACGTTGTATGTGGTTACCTGTCAATCAAGAAATGTGAGACAATTCATATAGAGGAACTGCTATGATTAGCTTCTTATTGGTGTCTTGTCTTCCTCCAGGTAACTCCAGATACCTGCACGCTCTGATTGGGACCTCAGTGGTCATCATCCCCTTTGCTATCCTCCTCTTCTTTCTCCTTCATCGCTGGTGTGCCAACAAAAAGAGTAAGTCTCACGAAGCAGAAGCCAGAGAGCTCAGGGCCATGTGGGGAAGCAGGATGGGAGCACTCAGGTGTGTGTTCCTTACAGGCAGGATGGTCCCTGACCCAAGGCAGGAGCCACAGAGGCAGGACTTTCTAGAGAGAGCACCAGACTCCCTGCCCCTGCCTTCAGCTCACAGACCATTGCCTGATTCTGAACCATATCCTCACATCCCCTGCAGCCACTCACATCCAGGAGAAGGTTCCATGACAGGCAGAAAGTGGGAGACAGAATCAATGGGATGGGAACTCAGAGCTATTCATGGGATGGGTCCTTGAGCTCAGAGAGATAGAATGTCTGAGTCTGCTGTTGGCAACTGAGGGACCTCAGGCACCTATGGCCTCCCCCTGCATGTTGGTATCTGCTTATGAAATGAGGACCCAGAAGTGCCCTCCGAGCTGTTTTGACGACTTCCGTCTTCTACAGATGCTGTTGTAATGGACCAAGAGCCTGCAGGGAACAGAACAGTGAACAGGGAGGTAGGTGCTCCTCAGCCCAGCCTCATGGCTAGTCTTATTCCCAAAGAGTCCTGAAAAATGTGAGCACCCTCCCTCACTCAGCATTTCCCTCCCTCCAGGACTCTGATGAACAAGACCCTCAGGAGGTGACATACGCACAGTTGAATCACTGCGTTTTCACACAGAGAAAAATCACTCGCCCTTCTCAGAGGCCCAAGACACCCCCAACAGATACCAGCGTGTAACACGGAACTTCCAAATGCTGAGCGCAGATCCAAAGTTGTCTTCTGTCCACCAGCACCACAGTCAGGCCTTGATGGGATCTTCTAGGGAGACAATAGCCCTGTCTCAAAACCGGGTTGCCAGCTCCCATGTACCAGCAGCTGGAATCTGAAGGCGTGAGTCTGCATCTTAGGGCATCGCTCTTCCTCACACCACGAATCTGAACATGCCTCTCTCTTGCTTACAAATGTCTAAGGTCCCCACTGCCTGCTGGAGAGAAAACACACTCCTTTGCTTAGCCCACAATTCTCCATTTCACTTGACCCCTGCCCACCTCTCCAACCTAACTGGCTTACTTCCTAGTCTACTTGAGGCTGCGATCACACTGAGGAACTCACAATTCCAAACATATAAGAGGCTCCCTCTTAACACGGCACTTAGATACATGCTATTCCACCTTTCCTCATGTTGTTCCACCTTTCCTCAGAGTATCTTTCAGCCTTCTGTCAGCAGTAAAACTTATAAATTTTTTTTATAATTTCAATGTAGTTTTCTATTCTTCAAGTAAACATGTCTGCCCTCATGGTTTCGTCAATGGGACTCTTTTCTTGCCTAAGGCTTCCGGTGTTATCATTACCACGTCCACATAACCCCATCTGTTCTCCGCTGGGTTCTCACCCCTGGACTCTGAGCTTCTGGAAGCAGGGTGGAGCCTGAATTGTCTCTGAGACTCCAGTTTCCATCCAAAGATGCAGCACATAGGAGGTTCCAAGGATGGTGAATCAGATGAACAAGTGATATTCTTACTCTCTGCAGATCTGGAAAGCTGGCAGAGTCATTCCACGATGAAACATTTGTAGAGTCATAGGCCTTGTTAGTCTCATCTCCACAGGGACACGTATCAACACATCATCTTTCATACTACTATAAATAGACAGTCACTCCTCCATATCTCTGGGGTTTACACATGTTTATTGAATCAGCAATAAATCAAAAATATTTTGAGAAAAAAAATCCCCGAAGTTTCAAAAAGCAAAAAACTATGTTGAATCGACACAAATTGAGTGGCGTGTAGGCTGTGTCAGGAATTATAAGTAATCAAGAGATGATTTCATGTATACAGGAGGATGTGCATGGGTTCTATGCAATTGCTATGCTATTTTTTTTTTTGAGACAGTCTCACTCTCTCACCCAGGCTGGAGTGCAGTGGCGTGATCTCAACTCACTGCAACCTCCGCCTTCCAGGTTCAAGCGATTCTCTTCCCTCAGCCTCCTCAGTAGCCTCCCCTAGGATTACAGGCACGTGCCACCCTGCACAGATAAATTTTTTTGTGTGTGTATTTTTAGTAGAGACGGGGTTTCAGAATGTTGGACCAGCTGGTCTTGAACTCCTGACCTTGTGATCTACCCAGCTCAGCCTCCCAAAGTGCTGGGATTACGGGCGTGAGCCACGGTGCCCAGCTTCACTATGCCATTTCATGCAAGGGGCTTGAGCATCTGCAGATTTTGGTATCTGAATGGGGATCCTGGAACCAATCACCCAGGTATAGTGAAGGACCATGGTATATAATTTTTATTTGTCAATCTTAAAAATAAAGCATAAAAAATTTACAACAACAAGATAAAAAATAAGAAGTGTTTTTATAGTGTGAGGATAAGTTTAGATTTATTTTTTCCTACGTGTAACCCTATGGTCCTGTGTTATTTGTTGAGAAAATATTCTATTCCACCTTAAACTACATGGCAGCCTTTGTCAACTATAAAGGGACTGTGTATCCACAGATGTATTTTAGACACAGTTTTCTGTCCAGTGGTTCTCTGTATCCCCTCTCATGAGGATGCTGCATTTTATATAAACTTATAGAACCCCTTAAAATTTGGTAACCTGAGTCCTCTGATTTGTTATTATAGGTTATTTAGTTTGCTTTTTTTTTTTCTTGAGACAGACTCTTCCTCTGTCACCCAAGCTGGAGTTCAGTGGCTTGAGCTCAGCTCACTGCAACCTCCGCCTCCCAGGTTCAAGCTATTCTGATGCCTCTGGTTTAGTACTAGAAACTCAAGCAGGAAAATTAGAATGGCTTCTTGTCACAATTACTCTGATAATGTTAATAATACCTGTTAGACATTTTGCACATTACATATGAAGAAGAGTTTGAATCTCAGATAAAAACAAAAATACATCAAAAATCTTTAATGTAAGCACAGAATTCAATCATCTCGTGTATGAGAGGTTGGATCTGAGACGTCTTTTGAGTCTGGTCGTAGTGAAGGACGCAAGGTGTCAATTCTAGTGAGAACAATTTCCAGGAAGCCATGTTCCGCTCTTGAGCGAGCACCCACTGGGCCTCATGCAAGGTAGAAAGAGCCTGCGTACGTCACCCTCCCATGATGTGGTCAACATGTAAACTGCATGGGCAGGGCGCCAAATAACATCCTGTGCGCTGCTGAGCTGAGCTGGGGCGCGGCCGCCTGTCTGCACAGACAGCACCATGTCGCTCATGGTCGTCAGCATGGCGTGTGTTGGTGAGTCCTGGAAGGGAATCGAGGGAGGGAGTGCGGGGATGGAGATCGGGGCCCAGAGTTGGAGATATAGGCCTGGAAGTGGAGTTATGGGCCTAGAGATGGAGTGATGGGCCTAGAAGTGGAGATCTGGGCCTGGAGTGGAGATATGGGCCTGGAGGTTGAGATATGGGCCTGCAGTAGAGATATGGGCTTGTAGTGGAGACATGGGCCTGGAGATGGAGATATGGGCCTGGAGATGGAGATATGGGCCTGCAGTAGAGATATGGGCCTGGAGTGGAGATATGGGCCTGGAGTGGAGATATGGATCTGGAGGTGGAGATACGGGCCTGCAGTAGAGATATGGGCCTGGAGTGGAGATATGGGCCAGGAGTGGAGTTATGGGCCTAGAGGTGGATATCTGGGCCTGGAGTGGAGATATGGGCCTAGGAAGGAGATATGGGCCTGGGTGTGGAGATATGGGACTGGAGAGGTGATATGGGCCTGGAGTGGAGATATGGGCTTAGGGTGGAGATCTGGGCCTGGGGCAGAGATATGGGACTGGATTGGAGATATGGGCCTAGGGTGGAAATATCAGCCTGGAGTGGAGATATGGGCTTGTGGTGGGGATCTGGGCCTGGAAACTGGGTCTCTGCACAGCCGACAGCCCTGTTCTTGGGTGCAGGTAGGCACTGAGGGTGAGTTTAACTTCAGCCCAGGAAGGGCCTGGCTGCCAAGACTCACAGCCCAGTGGGGGCAGCAAGGGAGTCCTGGTTTGCCTGCAGATGGATGGTCCATCATGATCTTTCTTTCCAGGGTTCTTCTTGCTGCAGGGGGCCTGGCCACATGAGGGTGAGTCCTTCTCCAAACCTTCGGTTGTCATCTCCCCACATAAGAGGATTTTCCTGAAACAGGAGGGAAGTCCTGTCAGGGAGTCTCTCATAAACTGGGAAGAGAGGACCCTGGGGTGCTCGGCCCACATTTCTGACCTTGCCTCCCTGGCCTCTCAACCCCTTGGCAGAGTCAAGTTCTGTGGGGACCAGGGTTAGACTGGGGTGCTCAAAGCTGGGGTGTGTGGTGGGGAAGTGGTAGGAACAGCAGATCCTCTGAGGACAAAGGTGTTACTCACACACTTCAGCGTTTCCATGATGGTAGGGGCTGCAGTGTGGCTGCTGTCATTCTACCAGAAGAGGTGGGAAACCACAGCCATGGCCCTGACATTCCAAATCCTCTGATGGGGGCTCAGTTGTTTATTTTCGTTCAGGCATCCGCTGATATCCACTCACAAAGGACATGCCCTCCACCTCATGTCTACCCTGTGTTGTTTTATGTGAGTAATCTTACAGTATTAAAATCTAGTAGGAGTCTCTTTACTCAGCACTTGCTCAAAGTTCTCAGCTGAGGCTTTTGTTGTAGGGAGACACCATGTCTTTGCGGGATGGGTCCTTCCTTCAGCCCTGGGCACCAAGGTGTGATAGTAGCCATAGAAACGTGGAAAGCGAGGAGAATCTTCTGAGCACAGGGAGGGAGGGGCAGTTCCACATCCTCCTCTCTAAGGCGGCGCCTCCTTCTCCCCAAGGTGGTCAGGACAAGCCCTTGCTGTCTGCCTGGCCCAGCCTTGTGGTGCCTCTAGGACATGTCATTCTTCGGTGTCACTCTTATCTTGGGTTTAACAACTTCAGTCTGTACAAGGAAGGTGGGGTGCCTGTCCCTGAGCTCTACAACAGAATATTCTGGAACAGCCTTTTCATGGGCCCTGTGACCCCCGCACAACAGGGACATACAGATGTCGGGGTTCACACACACACTCCCCCAGTGGGTGGTCAGCACCCAGCAACCCCCTGGTGATCGTGGTCATAGGTCAGAGGGCTCCTGTCTTGGATTCTCCTTGTCCCACCTCCTGAATCCCAGAGCTTCTGGTGGGCATGTCCTTGAGGGTCCCATCACGCAGGCCCTGACTGTATTTGTGGTAAAGGGGGATTGAATACAGGGAAATGGGTGCTGTGGTGGGAAGAATAATTGTCCCCAGTGATGACTACATTCTAATCCCTGGAGTCTGTGACTATGTATGTTATAGGGGAAGGGACTGAAGGGGAAGATGGAGCTCATGGGGAGACAGCCTGGACTGTCCCACTGGGCTCAGTGTAATCACAAGGGTGCACATGAAAGGAGGAGGAAGAGGGGAGTGGGGATTAGAGCAGTCCAGTGGAAGTCTTCACCAGCTTTGAAGGTGGAGGAAGGCCAAGAGCCATGAATGCAGGTGGCCTATAGAGGCTGGAAAAGTCAAGGAACTGATTCTCCAGAGTCTCCAGAGGAAACGAAGCCCTGCAGATGCCTTGATTTTAGCCCAGGAAAAATAGGGTCCAATTTCTGTCTCCAGTACTGGAAGGTGTCAGTGTGGTCTCTCCTGCTTCCATGCTTCTGATAATTTTGTACAGCAGCAACAGGAAACCAACACTGGAACCCAGGTCAAGGACAAGTTAAGAAACAACCCAAGGAAAGCCAGGCATGGTGGCAGGCGCATGTAATCCTAGCGACTCAGGAGGCTGAGGGCAGGAGAATCACTTGAACCCAGGAAACAGAGGTTGCAGTGAGCCTAGACCACACCACTTCACTCCAGCCTGGGTGAAGGAGTGAGACTCTGTCTCCAAAATTAATTAATTAATTAAAGAAACCAAACAAGGAGAAGGTTGGCTACCCTGAGATCAGCAAGGGTGGGATGATGATGCCACCACCAGGCTCCATCCACATAGGGAGGGGTTGATACTCCTCCAACCAGCACCAGGAGCCAGCCTATGGAAGCTGGCACCATGGAGAAGGCACAGGCATGGCAAGAGTGGCTCCCAGTCCCGACCAGGAACAGGGTGTGTGGACACTGGTGCCTGCCTTATTCATCAGTTCATACCTTCTGCCAAGGATTGCAATTCATCCAAAAGAGATTGAACAAGGCTGATAAGAGCCTGGATGTGCAGCCTATCCTGGTTCCTCTTTCACCCCCACATAAACAGCAGGAAAGACGTTAGTGTGAAATAGATACAACACCCCAAGAGATGAGGCTAAGCCCAGTGGGAAGGGAATCAGAGGCTACTAGAGACAGAGGGACAGAGAAGAGGGAGGGAGACAGATGGAAGGACCTGCACCAGGAGTTATGGGCACAGAAAAGAACATGAAGACACAGAGAGGAAGGAGAGAGACAGACACCAGCAAGGGGAAGCCTCACTCATTCTAGGTGCCATGGATGGGATGATAAAGAGAGACACCTTCTAAACTCACAACCTCTCTTCTTAGGAGTCCACAGAAAACCTTCCCTCCTGGCCCACCCAGGTCCCCTGGTGAAATCAGAAGAGACAGTCATCCTGCAATGTTGGTCAGATGTCAGGTTTGAGCACTTCCTTCTGCACAGAGAGGGGAAGTATAAGGACACTTTGCACCTCATTGGAGAGCACCATGATGGGGTCTCCAAGGCCAACTTCTCCATCGGTCCCATGATGCAAGACCTTGCAGGGACCTACAGATGCTACGGTTCTGTTACTCACTCCCCCTATCAGTTGTCAGCTCCCAGTGACCCTCTGGACATCGTCATCACAGGTGAGAGTGTCCGGACATTCTCATTGTCATTGGGCTGCAGAGTGAATGATCCACGACTTGGAACCCCCAGGTAGTTGTAAGGAAGATGAGCTTGGTATTCTTATGGAGAGAGACTGACTTGCTGAGGTTTGTACCAACAGAGACAGAGAAACAGGAGACACAAGTACAGACCAGGTGTCATAACGGAGGACAGACACAGGGGCCATACAGGGAGTTAGAAAAGACAGAAAGAGTTAAAGGAGACAGACAGACAGACATGTCCCAGAGAGAGGTGTCCCTCCATGCTGACTTTGCTCACAGACCTGGCACAGGATAGAAGTTTCATTTCTGTTTTACCTCCACAAAGTGTTCTCTACCAGGAGAACCCAAGGACACCCATATTTCTGACCTGAGTTGGGCCCTGTGGCCTCAGGCCTTGTGGCACCTACAGGCCATGTTTATTCTGACACCTCTGCCTTCCATGTAATGGAGAGTAACCGTCCCAGGATATCATGGCCCCAGAACACCAACCCCTGTATGCTGTGTGAACTTGTGGTCTCCAGACTGGATTCTGAGGCTCACATTCCAAATAACCCCACATATGAAAGGATCACTGAGAGGCACAGAGAGAAATCAGGAACACCAAAAAGCAAAGACATAAACACACAGAGAATGGGCCAGAGGAAGGAGATTGAGAGACTCACTGACACATAAAGAGAGAGAAAAGAGGGCAGAGGAGTGGTGAGAATGATGGAAGGGAGCAGAGAAAAGCACTAAAATTAGAGTCCTGAGGGAGAGGCACAAGGACATAGAAAGATGGAGATGTGGGGATGAACTGCAGAGATTCCAAAGAGAACTAGAGAGACCGAGAGGCAGAGCAAGACAGATGATAGATGGATAGATATAGATAGATGATAAATAGGTAGATGATAGATAATAGGTTAAAGATACATAGATGATGATTGATTGATTCATTAATAGATAATACATAGAGATGATGATGATGAAGACAGATAGATAATACGTACAGATAGAGAGGCAGACAGAAATCATAGAGAGAGAGATGATACATACATATAAATAACAGATGATTGATGGATAGATAGACAACTGATAGATACATAGATGATATATAGATATAGATGACAGGTAGAGAATTTGTAGATAGGCACCGAATAGATAAATAGATAGATCGACAGATAATAGATAGAAATATGCAGAAAGTTATGAACAGGACACAACGTGAGAAACTTAGAATTTAAAAAAGTAACATCAAGTCAACCAATCCAAGGAGAGTCAGAGAGAATAAAAGAATCCAAAAAGGGAAAACATATCTAGAGGTGGGGAAGCGAGGTCAGAGACCTAGAGAGACAGAGAAGGTGGAAGGAGGAAATAGACATGAAGAGAGATGGGGTGGAGGGTGAGAGAGAGAGAGAGAGAGCATTAGGTCATAGAGCAGGGGAGTGAGTTCTCAGCTCAGGTGAAGGGAGCTGTGACAAGGAAGATCCTCCCTGAGGAAAATGCCTCTTCTCCTTCCAGGTCTATATGAGAAACCTTCTCTCTCAGCCCAGCCGGGCCCCACGGTTTTGGCAGGAGAGAGCGTGACCTTGTCCTGCAGCTCCCGGAGCTCCTATGACATGTACCATCTATCCAGGGAGGGGGAGGCCCATGAACGTAGGTTCTCTGCAGGGCCCAAGGTCAACGGAACATTCCAGGCCGACTTTCCTCTGGGCCCTGCCACCCACGGAGGAACCTACAGATGCTTCGGCTCTTTCCGTGACTCTCCCTATGAGTGGTCAAACTCGAGTGACCCACTGCTTGTTTCTGTCACAGGTGAGGAAACCCCATATCTGTCTCATGTCCTATGATCCTAGAGCCTTAGCTGAGGAGCTTCCTGCTGATGATGGAGAGAAGCATGGACAGATGCAGAGAGAAGACGAAGCTTGGGTGTGAGGGAGGGATCAGGGCACAGGATGGCAGACAGGGCACCTCCAAACCCTCCTACACGGCCTGCATGAAGGCCCGCGGCCAGGGCTCCAGGCACACAGGCAGATGGAGAAAACGGTCAGGAGAGACCCAGAGGAGAGAGACTGGGCTCAGTTTGGGAAGATCAGAGGTTCCCTCAGCCCCTCAACATTATCCATTTCCCAGAAGCCCATCCTGGCCTCTCACCCACACAGGGATGTCATCACCAGCAACCCCTACACCCTTTACTTTTGTTTGAAGAAATATTTATTGAGGATAAATATACCTATATAGCTTACCACCTTTAACATTTTTTTTTTTTTTGAGGCAGAGTCTAGCTCTGTCCCCTATGCTGGAGTGCAGTGGCACAATCTCAGCTCACTGCAATTTCCGCCTCCTGGGTTCAAGCGATTCTCTTGCCTCAGCCACCTGAGTAGCTGGTGCTACAGGCGCGCACCACCACGCCAGGCTACTTTTTGTATTTTTAGTAGAGAGGTGGTTTCACCATGTTGGTCGAGCTGGTCTCCAACTCCTGACCACGTGATCCACCCGCATGTGCCTCCCAAAGTGCTGGGATTACAGGCATGAGCCACCACGCCCAGCCACATTTACCATTTTTAAGTGTAAAGTCTAGTGGTCATAAATACATTTATATATATATATATTTTTTTTTTTTTTTTACCCTCCACCCTTTTCTTCCTGGCCTCTGGAAGCCATCATTCTACTCTCTACCTTCATGAGATCCACCTTTTAGCTCTGTATATGGGTGAGAAATGGGAATCTTTGTAATGACTTCCAGTTCCATCCATGTGGCTGCAAATATCAGGATGTTATTCTTTCTATGGATGAGTAGTCTCCACTGTGCGTATGTACTACATTCTCTCTATCCATTCATCCACTGATGGGCAGGTAGGTTGACTCCACATCTTGGCTACTGTGAACAGTGCTGCACCAATCATACGAGTGCAGATATCACTTCGATATATTGATTTACTTTCCTTTGGATATAAACCCAGTAGTGAAATTGCTGGATACTATGAAAGTTCTCTTTTTAGTTTTTCGTTTGTTGTTTTGTTTTTGTTTTTGAGACAGTTTCCCTCTGTGCCCAGGCTGGAGTACAAGTGATGTCATCTTGGCTCATTGCAACCTCTGCCTCCTGGGTTCAAATGATTTTCCTGCCTCAGCCTCCCTAGTAGCTGGGATTACAGGTGCACGCCACCATGCCTGGCTACTTTTTGTTTTTTTTAGTATAGATGGGGTTTCCCCATGTTGGCTGGGCTGCTCTCAAACTCATGACCTCAACTGAGATGCCCGCCTCAGTCTCCCAAAGTGCTGGGATTACAGGCCTGATCCACCACACCCAACCTCTTTTTAGTTCTTTAAAGGACTTCCATACTTTTCTCCGTAATCGCTGTACTAATTTACACTCCTCCCAACAGGGTACCAGGGTTCTCCTTTCTCTACCACCTTGCCAGCATTTCTTTTGCCTGTCTTGCAGCTAAAAGCCATTTTATTTTATTTCATTTTATTTTGAATGGAGTTTTGCTCTTCTCACCCAGGCAGGAGTGCAGTGGCGCTATCTCGGCTCACCACAACCTCCACCTCCCAGGTTCAAGCGATTCTCCTGCCTCAGCCTCCCGAGTAGCTGGAATTACAGGCACACTCCACCACGCCCGACTAATTTTTGTATTTTTAGTAGAGACAGTGTTTCTCTATGTGGGTCAGACTGGTCTCAAACTCCTGACCTTATGAGATTCACCCACCTCAGGCTCTCAAAGTTCTAGGATGACAGACGTGAGCCACCACGCCCGGCCTAAAAGCCATTTTAATGGGGTGAGATGAAAACTCACTTTGATTTTAATTTGCGTTTCTCTGATGATGAGTGATACTGAGCACTTTTTAGTATGTGGGGAAATTTCATGTCTTCTGCTCCTTTTTCAATTAAATCATTTGTTTTATTGAGTTGTTTGAGCTTCTTATATTTCTAGTTATTAATCCCATCTCAGATGCATAGTTTGCACATATTTGCTCCCAATCTGTGGGTTGTCTCTTCACTTTGTTGGTTTATTTTTAGCAGTGCAGAAGTTGCTTAGTTTGAGGTAATCCCAATGGTCTATTTTTGCTTCGATTACTTGTGTTTTCAAGGTTTAAAACAAAATGTCTTTCTTCAGACAAATGTCCTGGAGCATTTCCCCAATATTTTGTTCTACGTGTTTCATAGGTTCAGGCCTTAGACTCACATCTTTAATCCATTTTCATTTGATTTTTGTGTATGGTGACAGGTAGAGGTGCAGTTTCATTCCTCTGCATGTCGATGTCCAGGTTTCCCTGCACTGTTTATTGAAAAGACTGTCCTTTCCTGATTGTGAGTTCTTGGCACCTTTGTCAAAGTCCATTGGATGGGCTGGGCTTGGTGGCTGACACCTGCAATTTCAGCACTTTGGGAGGCCGAGGCGGGTGGATTACCTGAGGCCAGGAGTTCAAGATCAGTCTGGACGACGTGATGAAACATCGTCTCCACTAAAAATATAAAAATTAGCTGAGCATGGTGGTCAGCACCTGTAATACCACTACTCAGGAGTTTGAGGCAAGAGAATGATTGAACCCAGGAGGCTGAGGTTGCAGTGAACTGAGATTGCACCTCTGCACTCCAGCCTGAGTGACAGAGCAAGACTCCATCTCAAAAGAAAAAATAAAAAACCATTGGATGTAAATGCATGGAATATATCTGTGTTATTCATTCTGCTCCGTTGTTCTATGTCCCTTTCTTTATGCCAATGTCATGCTGTTTTGCTTACTACAGCTCTGTAACATATTTTGAGATCAGGTAGTGTGATGCTCCTGTTTTCTCTTTATACCTTGAAGTCTCAAGACAGTGGGCGTCACATAAAAAAATTATGGAAAAAAGGATCCCAGGACTCCCAGGGCCCAATATTAGATAACAGAGTGTTGGCCATGAACCATCCTCAAAGATTTCCACTGAGTAGAGGACAGACACCCTCATTTCCTCACCTCTCTCCTGTCTCATGTTCTAGGAAACCCTTCAAATAGTTGGCCTTCACCCACTGAACCAAGCTCCAAAACCGGTGAGTACAGAACCCTCTTATATCCGCTTTTGGAAACCTGGGGAGGTGGAAACCTTGGATTCAGGCGTTGACTCAGCATCTCACAGCTCTGACATTGTACCCCTGTCTTCCACCATCTCCGAACTCCAGATACTCCTACAGCAAAAGGGATCTGGGTCCAACACAGGGCTCAGTGAAATCTCTTCATCTCTCATTTTATGGAGCTGAGACTTCCTACAAGCTAGAAGAATGATTGCCAATCTGACATCCTTCTCAGGAAAAATGCAATGTTTGTTCTGCCTGCATTCCTAACTGGAGGATAAATTCCTGGAGACTTGAGAGAGGGAAGGGAAGGGAACATCTGATGAGGGCGAGGTGTTTTAGAGAAGTTCCACTTGCCAAGGAATGAGCTCCTATAGGTCATGAAGCAACCCTGGCTGACTCAGCAGAGAAAGAGCCTTGCTGTAACAGAGAACAGAGCTCATGCACGCACACTTCGACTCACTGACTCATTCAGCCACGGCCCCATGCTCAGGCTGTGCACTGTGGAAGCTTTTCCTATTGTTGCCATAACAAATTTCCACAAGATTCGTGGGTGAAAACAAAACGGTTTTTTAATTATCTTACAGTGCTGTAGCTCAAAGTATGAAGTGCATCTCACTGGGCTAAAATCAAGGTGACAGCAAGGCTGCCTTCCCTCTGAGGATTCCAGGCAAGAATCTGCTTCTCACTTTTCTCAGCTTCTAGAGGCTCCCACATTCCTTCGCTCCTGGTCCCCTTCCTCCTTCCTCAAAGCCCACAAAGACTGGTCACATCTCACATGGCATCACTCAGACCCTTCTTCCTTACCACACCTCTTTCTCTGAATGCTGCTCTCCCTTCTTCCTCATCTTTTGAAAACTTGGGGATTCTATTGGGTTCACCAAGATGAAAATCCATCATAATCTCCCGGAAATCATTCAGGATACCCTTGTTTTAAGTTCAGCTGATTAGCAACCATAATTCCATCTGCAATCTTCATTCCTCCTTTCCATGTAAAATAAGATATTCACAAGCTATGGAGGCTAGGACAGGGACATTTTGGGGTGGGACAGCATTCTCCTGCCTTCCACAAACAGTGAACAAGATGCATTTGGCCTCTGCTCTTTGGACACTGATATTGCAGATGGTTAAATGGGAGGGCAGAAAATGAATGCACAAGTGGACCAATAAATGAATGATCCATTGGGAAGCATCTGTGTATGAAATCTATTTGTTTGTTTCTTCATTTGTTTATTGAGACAGAGTCTCCCTCTGTCTTCCAGGCTACAGTGCAGTGTCACCATCTTGGCTCACTGCAACCTGCACCTTCTGGATCCAAGTGATTCTCCTGCGTCAGCCTCTCAAGTAGCTGGGATTACAGGCAACTGCCACCATGCCCGGCTAATTCTTTTTGTATATTTTTTGTAGAGGATGTTTCACCATCTTCGCCAAGCTTCTCTGAAACTCCCAACCTCAAGTGATCCGACCGTCTCAGCATCCTAAAGTACTGGGATAACTGGCGTGAGCCACTGTGCCCAGCCAGAATTTAAAATAAATAATACATAATGCTGAGTGTATGATTTTGGGTGACAGAGAAGATCTCACTAATCAGATATTTGTGACATTAATGAAAAACACGGATTGAACCCCTGAAAGATTGGCGGAAGGATTTTCCACACACAGCTGTCAGCCGTGAAGGCAGAAAGCTGAAAACAATCTGATGTGGAAGGAAGAGGCTCTGCCTCAAATGCTGGGAATGAGGTGGGGAGAATGACAAGACGACTGTGGAGAGACGGAGAGCACACTGGGTACACAGGAAACTAAGGAGCAACAAGGAGTGTGTGTTTGACACTCACAGCCATTGGATTCACCTCGGGGTAGCCAGGAATCCCTACATGATTAATAGTGACTGACATGAAAATAAGGGAGGCCCAGGTGCATAACTGGAATCTAGGAGACTGTGGAAAAGGCAATTCCCGCCCCACTGGTGAAATGTGGTGCTGATTTAGACCCTAACTGGGTGAAGCAGATGGATATAAGCTATGCTTGTGAGGTGGAATCATTGGCTGGAAAGGCTTGCTGGGTATGATTTTCCTAGTTGTCTAATCCTCGCTTAATTTCTTTCTGAGCTTTATTCCTACTACACATAAATCAATACCTGGCAAAGGAGTGACAGATATATGAGGGGTGGTGGAAATGAAGGGACCTATTATAGCATAATATACAAGTCTGTGAACGGTGGCTCACGCCTGTAACCCAGCACTGCAGGAGGCCAAGGCGGGTGGATCACATGAAGTCAGCAGTTCGAGACCAGCCTGGCCAACATGGTGAAACCCTGTCTCTAGGAAAAACACAAAAATTAGCCGAGCATGGTGGTGCATCCCTGTAATCCCAGCTCCTACTCTGGAGGATGAAGCAGGAGAATGACTTCAACCCAGGAGGTGGAGGTTGCAGTGAGTGGAGATTGCATCACTGCACTCCAGCCTGGGTGACACAAGGAGACTCCGTCTCAAAAAATAAAAATAAGAAATGCATAAATATAAATATAATATAACACATGCAAATGAGAAAGGGACCTGAATTCCAATCATGATTTTTCTATTTCTCTATAATTACTTCTTTGATCCTTTATCTTATCCATTAGGCAATGAGCCTAAAACCTCTTCCCTATTTGGCTTTCTGTGAGCATGAGATCATATAGAAAATGTGAAAGCCCGCTGAATCCTCCAGCACAGATCCTGGAATACACAAAGTGCTCTGTTCATCACAAGAAAACATGCCCTCTCACCCAAATCCCCCACCTCACCCCTACTTCCAATCATCTGTGGAGATTCAGATAGGCCATGGGGAGGTAAATTCTAATACTCCTTGGAGTGAGTCCAGATCTTGGAATCAGAGATTAGCGTCAGCAGTAGCTCCTGCTCCCCTTTCCTACTAATTCACAGGAGGACAGGTGGTATTGAAGCAATAGATGGCCGAGGGGGTGGTCCTTCCCCCAGCCTCTCGGGTAGAACAGCAACCTAACATGTGTCTCCTGAGATCACAAAGAGTAGCACGTTTCACATGGGCTTCAACACTGTTTCCTGGCCATTTGACATAAGAGAATTCTACTTCGCTTTTTTTATCTTGATTTCACTTTTGTTTCCTTTTCTTGGAGAATGCAAGTTGTTTGACTCAAGAATGCCGTGGATGTAGAAATCCTAAAGCACAGTCGCTGTGTATCAATCCCAGTGCAGTCTTCCCAGAGAAGACTCTAAACACCTCCTGGACTGCACCTGGGCCTATGCCAATTCCTATCACTCACCGTCACTCCAGGGAGACAGAACACACAGAGAATACATTACACAGGCAGGTTCATTACTAACAGATAAGCAGCGAGTGACAACAGAAGCCTACATTTCAATGTGAGCCAGTCCCTCAAGGCTCAGAAAAGCTGCTCGGGACATATGGAGTCACCCCATTTGCAGTGTAGCTGGGGGAAGCCAGAAAGCAGCCCAGCCTGGGTTTTGTACCCTGGAGCCACAGGAAGCACTCAGCTAAAGCACTGCATGACGCCTTCCTCCAGGAAGAACAGGAAGACAGCCCAGGCTGTTCTGAGACATTCCTCCTGATCTCAGGTCGTTGCTGTCTTAGTTTTTTTTTTTGTTGCTCTGAAGGAACACTTGAGCCTCGGTAACTTCTAAAGAAAAGAGATCGGTTTGCCTCACAGTTCTGCAGGCTGTACTGGAAGCATGGCACCAGAATCTATTTCTCGTGATGGCCTCAGGCTGCTCCCACTCTGGCAGAAGGGAAGGAGGGTCTGTCTGTGCAGAGACCACAGAGATCACACGGCAAGAGAGAGAGTAAGGGGGAGAGGGAGCAATGGAGCTTCCAAGCTCTTTTTAACAACCAGCTGTCCAGGAACTAACAGAGGGGGAACTTGCTAACCCCGTCTCCTTGGGACAGCATTGATCTGTTCATGATGGATCCACCTCCATGACCCAAACACCTCTGAAGAGGCCCAACCTCCCACAATGGGGGTGAAATTTCAATGTGAGGTTTGAAGGGGTCAAACATCTCAACTAAAGTAGTTGTATCCTCAGCACGTTCTATGGTTACTATGAGAGCTATAATTGAGAAAGCAGGGGAAAGCTAGGTCTCCCGCCATTTGGGTGCTTGTCCTAAAGAGACGTTGTATGTGGTTACCTGCCAATCAAGAAATGCGAGACAATTCATAAAGAGGAACTGCTATGATTAGCTTCTTATTGGTGTCTCCTCTTCTTCCAGGTAACCCCAGACACCTGCATGTTCTGATTGGGACCTCAGTGGTCAAAATCCCTTTCACCATCCTCCTCTTCTTTCTCCTTCATCGCTGGTGCTCCAACAAAAAAAGTAAGTCTCACGAAGCAGAGGCCAGAGAGCTCAGGGCCATGTGGGGAAGCAGGATGGGAGCACTCAGGTGTGTGTTCCTCACCAGCAGGATGGTCCCTGGCCCAAGACAGGAGCCACAGAGGCAGGACTTTCTAGAGAGAGCACCAGATTCCCTTCCCCTGCCTTCAGCTCACAGACCGTTGCCTGATTCTGAACTGTACCCTCACGTCCCCTGCAGCCACTCACATCCAGGAGAAGGTTCCATGACAGGCAGAAAGTGGGAGATAGAATCAATGGGATGGGAACTCAGAGCTATTCATGGGATGGGTCCTTGAACTCAGAGAGATAGAATGTCTGAGTCTGCTGTTGGCAACTGAGGGACCTCAGGCACCTATGGCCTCCCCCTGTTTGTTGGTATCTGCTTATGAAATGAGGACCCAGAAGTGCCCTCCGAGCTCTTTTGTTGACTTCCGTCTTCTACAGATGCTGCTGTAATGGACCAAGAGCCTGCAGGGAACAGAACAGTGAACAGCGAGGTAGGTGCTCCTCGGCCCAGCCTCGTGGCTAGTCTTATTCCCAAAGAGTCCTGAAAAATGTGAGCACCCTCCCTCACTCAGCATTTCCCTCTCTCCAGGATTCTGATGAACAAGACCATCAGGAGGTGTCATACGCATAATTGGATCACTGTGTTTTCACACAGAGAGAAATCACTCGCCCTTCTGAGAGGCCCAAGACACCCCCAACAGATACCAGCATGTACATAGAACTTCCAAATGCTGAGCCCAGATCCAAAGTTGTCTTCTGTCCACGAGCACCACAGTCAGGCCTTGAGGGGATCTTCTAGGGAGACAACAGCCCTGTCTCAAAACCGGGTTGCCAGCTCCCATGTACCAGCAGCTGGAATCTGAAGGCATCAGTCTTCATCTTAGGGCATCGCTCTTCCTCACACCACGAATCTGAACATGCCTCTCTCTTGCTTACAAATGTCTAAGGTCCCCACTGCCTGCTGGAGAGAAAACACACTCCTTTGCTTAGCCCACAATTCTCCATTTCACTTGACCCCTGCCCACCTCTCCAACCTAACTAGCTTACTTCCTAGTCTACCTGAGGCTGCAATCACACTGAGGAACTCACAATTCCAAACATACAAGAGGCTCCCTCTTAACACAGCACTTAGACACGTGCTGTTCCACCTCCCTTCAGACTATCTTTCAGCCTTCTGCCAGCAGTAAAACTTATAAATTTTTTAAATAATTTCAATGTAGTTTTCCCGCCTTCAAATAAACATGTCTGCCCTCATGGTTTCGGTAACGAGACTCTTCTCTTGCCTAAGGCTTCCGGTGTTATCATTACCATGTCCACATAACCCCATCTGTTCTCCATTGGGTTCTCAGCCCTGGACTCTGAGCTTCTGGAAGCAGAATGGAGCCTGAATTGTCTCTGAGACTCCAATTTCCATCCAAAGATACAGCACATAGGAGGCTCCAAGGATCGTGAATCACATGAACAAGTGATATTCTTACTCTCTGCAGACCTGGAAAGCTGGCAGAGTCATTCCACGATGAAACATTTGTAGAGTCATAGGCCTTGTTAGTCTCATCTCCACGGGGACACATATCAACATATCATCTTTCATAATATAAATATACAGTCGGTCCTCCATATCTGTGGGGTTTACAGGTGTTTATTGAACCAACAATAAATCAAAAATATTTTGAGAAAAAAATCCCCGAAGTTTCAAGAAGCAAAAAACTATGTTGAATCGACACAAATTGAGTGGCGTGTAGGCTGTGTCAGGAATTATAAGTAATCAAGAGATGATTTCATGTATACAGGAGGATGTGCATGGGTTCTATGCAATTGCTATGCTATTTTTTTTTTTTGAGACAGTCTCACTCTCTCACCCAGGCTGGAGTGCAGTGGCGTGATCTCAACTCACTGCAACCTCCGCCTCCCAGGTTCAAGCGATTGTCTTCCCTCAGCCTCCCCAGTAGCCTCCCCTAGGATTACAGGCACGTGCCACCATGCACAGATAAATTTTTTTGTGTGTGTATTTTTAGTAGAGACGGGGTTTCAGAATGTTGGACCAGCTGGTCTTGAACTCCTGACCTTGTGATCTACCCAGCTCAGCCTCCCAAAGTGCTGGGATTACGGGCGTGAGCCACGGTGCCCAGCTTCACTATGCCATTTCATGCAAGGGGCTTGAGCATCTGCAGATTTTGGTATCTGAATGGGGATCCTGGAACCAATCACCCAGGTATAGTGAAGGACCATGGTATATAATTTTTATTTGTCAATCTTAAAAATAAAGCATAAAAAATTTACAACAACAAGATAAAAAATAAGAAGTGTTTTTATAGTGTGAGGATAAGTTTAGATTTATTTTTTCCTACGTGTAACCCTATGGTCCTGTGTTATTTGTTGAGAAAATATTCTATTCCACCTTAAACTACATGGCAGCCTTTGTCAACTATAAAGGGACTGTGTATCCACAGATGTATTTTAGACACAGTTTTCTGTCCAGTGGTTCTCTGTATCCCCTCTCATGAGGATGCTGCATTTTATATAAACT
Organism: Homo sapiens; assembly: GCF_000001405.40. Taxonomy (NCBI): domain Eukaryota; kingdom Metazoa; phylum Chordata; class Mammalia; order Primates; family Hominidae; genus Homo; species Homo sapiens. The sequence goes on from NT_187675.1 coordinate 52,634, forward strand.
TATAGAACCCCTTAAAATTTGGTAACCTGAGTCCTCTGATTTGTTATTATAGGTTATTTAGTTTGCTTTTTTTTTTTTCTTGAGACAGACTCTTCCTCTGTCACCCAAGCTGGAGTTCAGTGGCTTGAGCTCAGCTCACTGCAACCTCCGCCTCCCAGGTTCAAGCTATTCTGATGCCTCTGGTTTAGTACTAGAAACTCAAGCAGGAAAATTAGAATGGCTTCTTGTCACAATTACTCTGATAATGTTAATAATACCTGTTAGACATTTTGCACATTACATATGAAGAAGAGTTTGAATCTCAGATAAAAACAAAAATACATCAAAAATCTTTAATGTAAGCACAGAATTCAATCATCTCGTGTATGAGAGGTTGGATCTGAGACGTCTTTTGAGTCTGGTCGTAGTGAAGGACGCAAGGTGTCAATTCTAGTGAGAACAATTTCCAGGAAGCCATGTTCCGCTCTTGAGCGAGCACCCACTGGGCCTCATGCAAGGTAGAAAGAGCCTGCGTACGTCACCCTCCCATGATGTGGTCAACATGTAAACTGCATGGGCAGGGCGCCAAATAACATCCTGTGCGCTGCTGAGCTGAGCTGGGGCGCGGCCGCCTGTCTGCACAGACAGCACCATGTCGCTCATGGTCGTCAGCATGGCGTGTGTTGGTGAGTCCTGGAAGGGAATCGAGGGAGGGAGTGCGGGGATGGAGATCGGGGCCCAGAGTTGGAGATATAGGCCTGGAAGTGGAGTTATGGGCCTAGAGATGGAGTGATGGGCCTAGAAGTGGAGATCTGGGCCTGGAGTGGAGATATGGGCCTGGAGGTTGAGATATGGGCCTGCAGTAGAGATATGGGCTTGTAGTGGAGACATGGGCCTGGAGATGGAGATATGGGCCTGGAGATGGAGATATGGGCCTGCAGTAGAGATAGGGGCCTGGAGTGGAGATATGGGCCTGGAGTGGAGATATGGGCCTGAAGTGGAGATATGGGCCTGGAGGTGGAGATATGGGCCTGGAGGTGGAGATATGGGCCTGGAGTGGAGATATGGGTCTGGAGGTGGAGATACGGGCCTGCAGTAGAGATATGGGCCTGGAGTGGAGATATGGGCCAGGAGTGGAGTTATGGGCCTAGAGGTGGATATCTGGGCCTGGAGTGGAGATATGGGCCTAGGAAGGAGATATGGGCCTGGGTGTGGAGATATGGGACTGGAGAGGTGATATGGGCCTGGAGTGGAGATATGGGCTTAGGGTGGAGTTCTGGGCCTGGGGCGGAGATATGGGACTGGATTGGAGATAGGGGCCTAGGGTGGAGATCTGAGCCTGGATTGGCGATATGGGCCTAGGGTGGAAATATCAGCCTGGAGTGGAGATATGGGCTTGGGGTGGGGATATGGGCCTGGAAACTGGGTCTCTGCACAGCCGACAGCCCTGTTCTTGGGTGCAGGTAGGCACTGAGGGTGAGTTTAACTTCAGCCCAGGAAGGGCCTGGCTGCCAAGACTCACAGCCCAGTGGGGGCAGCAAGGGAGGGCTGGTTCGCCTGCAGATGGATCGTCCATCATGATCTTTCTTTCCAGGGTTCTTCTTGCTGCAGGGGGCCTGGCCACATGAGGGTGAGTCCTTCTCCAAACCTTCGGGTGTCATCTCCCCACATAAGAGGATTTTCCTGAAACAGGAGGGAAGTCCTGTCGGGGAGTCTCTCATAAACTAGGAAGAGAGGACCCTGGGGTGCTCAGCCCACATTTCTGACCTCGCCTCCCTGGCCTCTCAACCCCTTGGCAGAGTCAAGTTCTGTGGGGACCAGGGTTAGACTGGGGTGCTCAAAGCTGGGGTGTGTGGTTGGGAAGTGGTAGGAACAGCAGATCCTCTGAGGACAAAGGTGTTACTCACACACTTCAGCGTTTCCATGATGGTAGGGGCTGCAGTGTGGCTGCTGTCATTCTACCAGAAGAGGTGGGAAACCACAGCCATGGCCCTGACATTCCAAATCCTCTGATGGGGGCTCAGTTGTTTATTTTCGTTCAGGCATCCGCTGATATCCATTCACAAAGGACATGCCCTCCACCTCATGTCTACCCTGTGTTGTTTTATGTGAGTAATCTTACAGTATCAAAATCTAGTAGGAGTCTCTTTACTCAGCACTTGCTCAAAGTTCTCAGCTGAGGCTTTTGTTGTAGGGAGACACCATGTCTTTGCGGGATGGGTCCTTCCTTCAGCCCTGGGCACCAAGGTGTGATAGTAGCCATAGAAACGTGGAAAGCGAGGAGAATCTTCTGAGCACAGGGAGGGAGGGGCAGTTCCACATCCTCCTCTCTAAGGCGGCGCCTCCTTCTCCCCAAGGTGGTCAGGACAAGCCCTTGCTGTCTGCCTGGCCCAGCCTTGTGGTGCCTCTAGGACATGTCATTCTTCGGTGTCACTCTTATCTTGGGTTTAACAACTTCAGTCTGTACAAGGAAGGTGGGGTGCCTGTCCCTGAGCTCTACAACAGAATATTCTGGAACAGCCTTTTCATGGGCCCTGTGACCCCCGCACAACAGGGACATACAGATGTCGGGGTTCACACACACACTCCCCCAGTGGGTGGTCAGCACCCAGCAACCCCCTGGTGATCGTGGTCATAGGTCAGAGGGCTCCTGTCTTGGATTCTCCTTGTCCCACCTCCTGAATCCCAGAGCTTCTGGTGGGCATGTCCTTGAGGGTCCCATCACGCAGGCCCTGACTGTATTTGTGGTAAAGGGGGATTGAATACAGGGAAATGGGTGCTGTGGTGGGAAGAATAATTGTCCCCAGTGATGACTACATTCTAATCCCTGGAGTCTGTGACTATGTATGTTATAGGGGAAGGGACTGAAGGGGAAGATGGAGCTCATGGGGAGACAGCCTGGACTGTCCCACTGGGCTCAGTGTAATCACAAGGGTGCACATGAAAGGAGGAGGAAGAGGGGAGTGGGGATTAGAGCAGTCCAGTGGAAGTCTTCACCAGCTTTGAAGGTGGAGGAAGGCCAAGAGCCATGAATGCAGGTGGCCTATAGAGGCTGGAAAAGTCAAGGAACTGATTCTCCAGAGTCTCCAGAGGGAACAAAGCCCTGCAGATGCCTTGATTTTAGCCCAGGAAAAATAGGGTCCAATTTCTGTCTCCAGTACTGGAAGGTGTCAGTGTGGTCTCTCCTGCTTCCATGCTTCTGATAATTTTGTACAGCAGCAACAGGAAACCAACACTGGAACCCAGGTCAAGGACAAGTTAAGAAACAACCCAAGGAAAGCCAGGCATGGTGGCAGGTGCATGTAATCCTAGCGACTCAGGAGGCTGAGGGCAGGAGAATCACTTGAACCCAGGAAACAGAGGTTGCAGTGAGCCTAGACCACACCACTTCACTCCAGCCTGGGTGAAGGAGTGAGACTCTGTCTCCAAAATTAATTAATTAATTAAAGAAACCAAAGAAGGAGAAGGTTGGCTACCCTGAGATCAGCAAGGGTGGGATGATGATGCCACCACCAGGCTCCATCCACATAGGGAGGGGTTGATACTCCTCCAACCAGCACCAGGAGCCAGCCTATGGAAGCTGGCACCATGGAGAAGGCACAGGCATGGCAAGAGTGGCTCCCAGTCCCCACCAGGAACAGGGTGTGTGGACACTGGTGCCTGCCTTATTCATCAGTTCATATCTTCTGCCAAGGATTGCAATTCATCCAAAAGAGATTGAACCAGGCTGATAAGAGCCTGGATGTGCAGCCTATCCTGGTTCCTCTTTCACCCCCACATAAACAGCAGGAAAGACATTAGTGTGAAATAGATACAACACCCCAAGAGATGAGGCTAAGCCCAGTGGGAAGGGAATCAGAGGCTACTAGAGACAGAGGGACAGAGAAGAGGGAGGGAGACAGATGGAAGGACCTGCACCAGGAGTTAAGGGCACAGAAAAGAACATGAAGACACAGAGAGGAAGGAGAGAGACAGACACCAGCAAGGGGAAGCCTCACTCATTCTAGGTGCCATGGATGGGATGATAAAGAGAGACACCTTCTAAACTCACAACCTCTCTTCCTAGGAGTCCACAGAAAACCTTCCCTCCTGGCCCACCCAGGTCGCCTGGTGAAATCAGAAGAGACAGTCATCCTGCAATGTTGGTCAGATGTCAGGTTTGAGCACTTCCTTCTGCACAGAGAAGGGAAGTTTAAGGACACTTTGCACCTCATTGGAGAGCACCATGATGGGGTCTCCAAAGCCAACTTCTCCATCGGTCCCATGATGCAAGACCTTGCAGGGACCTACAGATGCTACGGTTCTGTTACTCACTCCCCCTATCAGTTGTCAGCTCCCAGTGACCCTCTGGACATCGTCATCACAGGTGAGAGTGTCCGGACATTCTCATTGTCATTGGGCTGCAGAGTGAATGATCCACGACTTGGAACCCCCAGGTAGTTGTAAGGAAGATGAGCTTGGTATTCTTATGGAGAGAGACTGACTTGCTGAGGTTTGTACCAACAGAGACAGAGAAACAGGAGACACAAGTACAGACCAGGTGTCATAACGGAGGACAGACACAGGGGCCATACAGGGAGTTAGAAAAGACAGAAAGAGTTAAAAGAGACAGACAGACAGACATGTCCCAGAGAGAGGTGTCCCTCCATGCTGACTTTGCTCACAGACCTGGCACAGGTTAGAAGTTTCATTTCTGTTTTACCTCCACAAAGTGTTCTCTACCAGGAGAACCCAAGGACACCCATATTTCTGACCTGAGTTGGGCCCTGTGGCCTCAGGCCTTGTGGCACCTACAGGCCATGTTTATTCTGACACCTCTGCCTTCCATGTAATGGAGAGTAACCGTCCCAGGATATCATGGCCCCAGAACACCAACCCCTGTATGCTGTGTGAACTTGTGGTCTCCAGACTGGATTCTGAGGCTCACATTCCAAATAACCCCACATATGAAAGGATCACTGAGAGGCACAGAGAAAAATCAGGAACACCAAAAAGCAAAGACATAAACACACGGAGAATGAGCCAGAGGAAGGAGATTGAGAGACTCACAGACACATAAAGAGAGAGAAAAGAGGGCAGAGGAGTGGTGAGAATGATGGCAGGGAGCAGAGAAAAGCACTAAAATTAGAGTCCTGAGAGAGAGGCACAAGGACATAGAAACATGGAGATGTGGGGATGAATTGCAGAGATTCCAAAGAGAGCTAGAGAGACCGAGAGGCAGAGCAATACAGATGATAGATGGATAGATATAGATAGATGATAAATAGGTAGATGATAGATAATAGGTTAAAGATACATAGATGATGATTGATTGATTCATTAATAGATAATACATAGAGATGATGATGATGAAGACAGATAATACGTACAGATAGAGAGGCAGACAGAAATCATAGAGAGAGAGATGATACATACATATAAATAACAGATGATTGATGGATAGATAGACAACTGATAGATACATAGATGATATATAGATATAGATGACAGGTAGAGAATTTGTAGATAGGCACCGAATAGATAAATAGATAGATCGACAGATAATAGATAGAAATATGCAGAAAGTTATGAACAGGACACAACGTGAGAAACTTAGAATTTAAAAAAGTAACATCAAGTCAACCAACCCAAGGAGAGTCAGAGAGAATAAAACAATCCAAAAACGGAAAACATATCTAGAGGTGGGGAAGCGAGGTCAGAGACCTAGAGAGACAGAGAAGGTGGAAGAAGGAAATAGATATGAAGAGAGATGGGGTGGAGGGTGAGAGAGAGAGAGAGAGAGCATTAGGTCATAGAGCAGGGGAGTGAGTTCTCAGCTCAGGTGAAGGGAGCTGTGACAAGGAAGATCCTCCCTGAGGAAAATGCCTCTTCTCCTTCCAGGTCTATATGAGAAACCTTCTCTCTCAGCCCAGCCGGGCCCCACGGTTCTGGCAGGAGAGAGCGTGACCTTGTCCTGCAGCTCCCGGAGCTCCTATGACATGTACCATCTATCCAGGGAGGGGGAGGCCCATGAATGTAGGTTCTCTGCAGGGCCCAAGGTCAACGGAACATTCCAGGCCGACTTTCCTCTGGGCCCTGCCACCCACGGAGGAACCTACAGATGCTTCGGCTCTTTCCGTGACTCTCCATACGAGTGGTCAAACTCGAGTGACCCACTGCTTGTTTCTGTCATAGGTGAGGAAACCCCATATCTGTCTCATGTCCTATGATCCTAGAGCCTTAGCTGAGGAGCTTCCTGCTGATGATGGAGATAAGCATGGACAGATGCAGAGAGAAGACGAAGCTTGGGTGTGAGGGAGGGATCAGGGCACAGGATGGCAGACAGGGCACCTCCAAACCCTCCTACACGGCCTGCATGAAGGCCCGCGGCCAGGGCTCCAGGCACACAGGCAGATGGAGAAAGCGGTCAGGAGAGACCCAGAGGAGGGAGACTGGGCTCAGTTTGGGAAGATCAGAGGTTCCCTCAGCCCCTCAACATTACCCATTTCCCAGAAGCCCATCCTGGCCTCTCACCCACACAGGGATGTCATCACCAGCAACCCCTACACCCTTTACTTTTGTTTGAAGAAATATTTATTGAGGATAAATATACCTATATAGCTTACCACCTTTAACATTTTTTTTTTTTTTGAGGCAGAGTCTAGCTCTGTCCCCTATGCTGCAGTGCAGTGGCACAATCTCAGCTCACTGCAACTTCCGCCTCCTGGGTTCAAGTGATTCTCCTGCCTCAGCCACCTGAGTAGCTGGTGCTACAGGCGCGCACCACCACGCCAGGCTACTTTTTGTATTTTTAGTAGAGAGGTGGTTTCACCATGTTGGTCGAGCTGGTCTCCAACTCCTGACCACGTGATCCACCCGCATCTGCCTCCCAAAGTGCTGGGATTACAGGCATGAGCCACCACTCCCAGCCACATTTACCATTTTTAAGTGTAAAGTCTAGTGGTCATAAATACATTTATAAATATATATATATATATATGTATGTATATATATATACACACACATATATATACATATATATATGTGTATATATATATATATATATATATATATATATATATATATATATATATATTTTTTTTTTTTTTTTTTTTACCCTCCACCCTTTTCTTCCTGGCCTCTGGAAGCCACCATTCTACTCTCTACCTTCATGAGATCCACCTTTTAGCTCTGTATATGGGTGAGAAATGGGAATCTTTGTAATGACTTGCAGTTCCATCCATGTGGCTGCAAATATCAGGATGTTATTCTTTCTATGGATGAGTAGTCTCCACTGTGCGTATGTACTACATTCTCTCTATCCATTCATCCACTGATGGGCAGGTAGGTTGACTCCACATCTTGGCTACTGTGAACAGTGCTGCACCAATCATACGAGTGCAGATATCACTTCGATATATTGATTTACTTTCCTTTGGATATAAACCCAGTAGTGAAATTGCTGGATACTATGAAAGTTCTCTTTTTAGTTATTCGTTTGTTGTTTTGTTTTTGTTTTTGAGACAGTTTCCCTCTGTGCCCAGGCTGGAGTACAAGTGATGTCATCTTGGCTCATTGCAACCTCTGCCTCCTGGGTTCAAATGATTTTCCTACCTCAGCCTCCCTAGTAGCTGGGATTACAGGTGCACGCCACCATGCCTGGCTACTTTTTGGTTTTTTTAGTATAGATGGGGTTTCCCCATGTTGGCTGGGCTGCTCTCAAACTCATGACCTCAACTGAGGTGTCCGCCTCGGTCTCCCAAAGTGCCGGGATTACAGGCATGATCCACCTCACCCAACCTCTTTTTAGTTCTTTAAAGGACTTCCACACTTTTCTCCGTAAAGGCTGTACTAATTTACACTCCTACCAACAGGGTATTAGGGTTCTCCTTTCTCTACCACTTTGGCAGGATTTCCTTTGCCTGTCTTGCAGCTAAAAGCCATTTTACTTTATTTCATTTTATTTTGAGATGGAGTTTCGCTCTTGTCACCCAGGCTGGAGTGCAGTGGTGCGATCTCGGCTCACCACAACCTCCACCTCCCAGGTTCAAGCGATTCTCCTGCCTCAGCCTCCCGAGTAGCTGGAATTACAGGCACACGCCACCACGCCCGACTAATTTTTGTATTTTTAGTAGAGACAGTGTTTCTCCATGTGGGTCAGACTGGTCTCAAACTCCCGACCTTATGAGATTCACCCACCTCAGGCTCTCAAAGATCTAGGATGACAGACGTGAGCCACCACGCCCGGCCTAAAAGCCATTTTAATGGGGTGAGATGAAAACTCACTTTGATTTTAATTTGCGTTTCTCTGATGATGAGTGATACTGAGCAGTTTTTCGTATGTGGGGAAATTTCATGTCTTTTGCTCCTGTTTCAATTAAATCATTTGTTTTATTGAGTTGTTTGAGCTTCTTATATTTCTAGTTATTAATCCCATCTCAGATGCATAGTTTGCACATATTTGCTCCCAATCTGTGGGTTGTCTCTTCACTTTGTTGGTTTATTTTTAGCGGTGCAGAAGTTGCTTAGCTTGAGGTAATCCCAATGGTCTATTTTTGCTTCGATTACTTGTGTTTTGAAGGTTTAAAACAAAATGTCTTCCTTCAGACAAATGTCCTGGAGCATTTCCCCAATATTTTCTTCTACGTGTTTCATAGGTTCAGGCCTTAGACTCACATCTTTAATCCATTTTCATTTGATTTTTGTGTATGGTGACAGGTAGAGGTGCAGTTTCATTCCTCTGCATGTAGATGTCCAGGTTTCCCTGCACTGTTTATTGAAAAGACTGTCCTTTCCTGATTGTGAGTTCTTGGCACCTTTGTCAAAGTCCATTGGATGGGCTGGGCATGGTGACTGACACCTGCAATTTCAGCACTTTGGGAGCCCAAGGCGGGTGGATCACCTGAGGCCAGGAGTTCAAGATTAGTCTGGCCGACGTGATGAAACATCGTCTCCACTAAAAATATATAAATTAGCTGAGCATGGTGGTCAGCACCTATAATACCACTACTCAGGAGTTTGAGGCCAGAGAATTGATTGAACCCAGGAGGCTGTGGTGGCAGTGAACCGAGATTGCACCTCTGCACTCCAGCCTGGGTGACAGAGCGAGACTCCATCTCAAAAGAAAAAAGAAAAAAACATTGGATGTAAATGCATGGATTATATTTGTGTTGTTCATTCTGCTCCATTGTTCTATGTGCCTTTCTTCATGCCAACATCATGCTGTCTTGCTTACTACAGCTCTGTAACATATTTTGAGATCAGGTAGTGTGATGCTCCTGTTTTCTCTTTATACCTTGAAGTCTCAAGACAATGGGCGTCACATACAAAAATTATGGAAAAAAGGATCCCAGGACTCCCAGGGCCCAATATTAGATAACAGAGTGTTGGCCATGAACCAACCTCAAAGATTTCCATTGAGTAGAGGACAGACACCCTCATTTCCTCACCTCTCTCCTGTCTCATGTTCTAGGAAACCCTTCAAATAGTTGGCCTTCACCCACTGAACCAAGCTCTAAAACCGGTGAGTACAGAACCCTCTTATATCCGCTTTTGGAAACCTGGGGAGGTAGAAACCTTCGATGCAGGCATTGACTCAGCATCTCGCAGCTCTGACATTGTACGCCTGTCTTCTACCATCTCCGAACTCCAGATACTCCAACAGCGAAAGGGATCTGGGCCCAACCTAGGGCTCAGTGAAATCTCTTAATCTCTCATTTTATGGAGCTGAGACCTCCTACAAGCTAGAAGAATGATTGCCAATCTGACATCCTTCTCAGGAAAAATGCAATGTTTGTTCTGCCTGCATTCCTAACTGGAGGATAAATTCCTGGGGGCTTGAGAGAGGGAAGGGAAGGGAACATCTGATGAGGGCGAGGTGTTTTAGAGAAGTTCCACTTGCCAAGGAATGAATTACTGTTGGTCATGAAGCAACCCTGGCTGACTCAGCAGAGCAACAGCCTTGCCGTAACAGAGAACGGAGCTCATGCACGCACACTTCGACTCACTGACTCATTCAGCCACGGCCCCATGCTCAGGCTGTGCAGTGCGGAACCTTTTCCTATTGTTGCCATAACAAATTTCCACAAGATTCGTGGGTGAAAACAAAACGGTTTTTTAATTATCTTACAGTGCTGTAGCTCAAAGTAGGAAGTGCATCTTACTGGGCTAAAATCAAGGTGACAGCAAGGCTGCCTTCCCTCTGAGGATTCCAGGCAAGAATCTGCTTCTCACTTGTCCCAGCTTCTAAAGGCTCCCAGTTCCTTGGCTCCTGGTCCCCTTCCTCCTTCCTCAAAACCCACAAAGACTGGTCACATCTCACATGGCATCACTCAGTGCCTTCTTCCTTACCACACCTCTTTCTCTGAATGCTGCTCTCCCTTCTTCCTTATCTTTTGAAAACTTGGGGATTCTATTGGGTTCACCAAGATGAAAATCCCTCATAATCTCCTGGAAATCATCCAGGATACCCTTGTTTTAAGTTCAGCTGATTAGCAACCGTAATTCCATCTACAATCTTCATTCCTCCTTTCCATGTAAAATAACATATTCACAAGGTATGGAGGCTAGGACAGGGACATTTTGGGGTGGGACAGCATTCTCCTGCCTTCCACAAACAGTGAACAAGATGCATTTGGCCTCTGCCCTTGGGACACTGATATTGCAGATGGTTAAATGGGAGGGCAGAAAATGAATGCACAAGTGGATCTATAAATGAATGATCCATTGGGAAGCATCTGTGCATGAAATCTATTTTTTGTTTGTTCTTTTGTTTATTGAGACAGAGTTGCCCTCTGTCTTCCAGGCTACAGTGCAGTGTCACGATCTTGGCTCACTGCAACCTGCTTCTCCTGGATTCAAGTGATTCTCCTGCCTCCGCCTCTCGAGTAGCTGGGATTACAGGCAACTGCCACCGTGCCCGGCTAATTCTTTTTGTATATTTTTTGTAGAGAGGATGTTTCACCACGTTGGCCAAGCTTGTCTGAAACTCCCAACCTCAAGTGATCCGACCGTCTCAGCATGCCAAAGTAATGGGACTACAGGCGTGAGCCACTGTGCCCAGCCAGAATTCAAAATCAATAATAGATAATGCTGAGTGTATGATTTCAGGTGACAAAGAAGGTCTCACTATTCAGATATTTGTGACATTAATGAAAAACACGGATTGAACCCCTGAAAGATTGGCGGAAGGATTTTGCACACACAGCTGTCAGCCGTGAAGGCACAAAGGTGAAAACAATCTGATGTGGAAGGAAGAGGCTCTTCCTCAAATGCTGGGAATGATGTGGGGAGAATGACAAGATGACTGTGGAGAGACGGAGAGCACACTGGGTACACAGGAAACTAAGGAGGAACAAGGAGTGTGTGTTTGACACTCACAGCCATTGGATTCACCTCGGGGTAGCCAGGAATCCCTACATGATTAATATGACTGACATGAAAATAAGGGAGGCTCAGTTGCATAACTGGAATCTAGGAGACCGTGGAAAAGGCAATTGCCGCCCCACTGGTGAAATGTGGTGCTGATTTAGACACTAAATGAATGAAGTAGATGGATATAAGATAGGTTTGTGAGGTAGAATCATTGACTGGAAAGGCTTGCTGGGTTTGATTTTCCTACTTGTTTAATCCTCGCTTAATTAATTTCTTTCTGAGATTTATTCATCCTACACATAAATCAATACCTGGCAAAGGAGTGACAGATATATGAGGGGTGGTGGAAATGAAGAGACCTATTATAGCATAATATACAAGTCTGTGAACGGTGGCTCACGCCTGTAACCCAGCACTGCAGGAGGCCAAGGCGGGTGGATCACATGAAGTCAGCAGTTCGAGACCAGCCTGGCCAACATGGTGAAACCCTGTCTCTAGGAAAAACACAAAAATTAGCCGAGCATGGTGGTGCATCCCTGTAATCCCAGCTCCTACTCTGGAGGATGAAGCAGGAGAATGACTTCAACCCAGGAGGTGGAGGTTGCAGTGAGTGGAGGTTGCATCACTGCACTCCAGCCTGGGTGGCACAAGGAGACTCCGTCTCAAAAAATAAAAATAAGAAATGCATAAATATAAATATAATATAACACACGCAAATGACAAAGGGACCTGAATTCCAATCATGATTTTTCTATTTCTCTATAATTACTTCTTTGATCCTTTATCTTATCCATTAGGCAATGAGCCTAAAACCTCTTCCCTATTTGGCTTTCTGTGAGCATGAGATCATATAGAAAATGTGAAAGTCCGCTGAATCCTCCAGCACAGATCCTGGAATAGAGAAAGTGCTCTGGTCATCACAAAAAAAACTTGCCCACTCACCCAAATCCCCCACCTCACCCCTACTTCCAATCACCTGTGGAGATTCAGGTAGACCATGGGGAGGTAAACATTAACACTCCTTGGAGTGAGTCCAGATCTTGGAATCAGAGATCAGCGACAGCACTAGCTCCTGCTCCCCTTTCCTACTAATTCACAGGAGGACAGGTGGTATTGAAGCAATAGATGGCCGAGGGGGTGGTCCTTCCCCCAGCCTCTCGGGTAGAACAGCAGCCTAATATGTGTCTCCCGAGATCACAAAGAGCAGCAGGTTTCACACGGGCTTCAACACTATTTCCTGGCCGTTTGACATAAGAGAATTCTATTTCGCTTTTTTTATCTTGATTTCACTTTTGTTTTCTTTCCTTGGAGAATGCAAGTTGTTTGATTCAAGAATGCTGTGGATGTAGAAACCCTAAAGCACATTCGCTGTGAATCAATCCCAGTCCAGTCTTCCCAGAGAAGACTCTAAACACCTCCTGGACTGCACCTGGGCCTATGCCAATTCCTATCACTCACCGTCACTCCAGGGAGACAGAACACACAGAGAATACGTTACATAGGCAGGTTCATTACTAACAGATAAGCAGCGAGTGACAACAGAAACCTATATTTCAATGTGAGCCAGTCCCTCAAGGCTCAGAAAAGCTCCTCGGGACATATGGAGTCACCCCATTTGCAGTGTAGCTGCGGGAAGCCAGAAAGCAGCCCAGCCTGGGTTTTGTACCCTGGAGCCACAGGAAGCACTCAGCTAAAGCACTGCATGACGTCCTCCAGGAAGAACAGGAAGACAGCCCAGGGTGTTCTGAGACGTTCCTCCTGATCTCAGGAAGTTGCTGTCTTAGGCCATTTTTGTTGCTCTAAAGGAACACTTGAGCCTCGGTAACTTCTAAAGAAAAGAGATTGGTTTGCCTCACCGTTCTGCAGGCTGTACTGGAAGCATGGCACCAGCATCTATTTCTCGTGACGGCCTCAGGCTGCTCCCACTCTGGCAGAAGGGAAGGAGGGTCTGTCTGTGCAGAGACCACAGAGATCACACGGCAAGAGAGGGAGCAAGGGGGAGGGGGAGTGATGGAGCTTCCAAGCTCTTTTTAACAACCAGCTCTCCGGGAACTAATAGAGGGGGAACTTGCTAACCCCGTCTCCTTGGGACAGCATTGATGTGTTCATGATGGATCCACCTCCATGACCCAAACACCTCTCAAGAGGCCCAACCTCCCACAGTGGGGGTGAAATTTCAATGTGAGGTTTGAAGGGGTCAAACATCTCAACTAAAGTAGTCGTATCCTCAGCACGTTCTATGGTTACTATGAGAGCTATAACTGAAAAAGCAGGAGAAAGCTGGGTCTCCTGCCATCTGGGTGCTTGTCCTAAAGAGATGTTTTATGTGGTTACCTGTCAATCAAGAAATGCGAGACAATTCATAAAGAGGAACTGCTAAGATTAGCTTCTTATTGGTGTCTCATCTTCTTCCAGGTAACCCCCGACACCTGCACATTCTGATTGGGACCTCAGTGGTCATCATCCTCTTCATCCTCCTCTTCTTTCTCCTTCATCGCTGGTGCTCCAACAAAAAAAGTAAGTCTCACGAAGCAGAGGCCAGAGAGCTCAGGGCCATGTGGGGAAGCAGGATGGGAGCACTCAGGTGTGTGTTCCTCACAAACAGGATGGTCCCTGGCCCAAGGCAGCAGCCACAGAGGCAGGACTTTCTAGAGAGGGCACCAGACTCCCTGCCCCTGCCTTCAACTCACAGACCGTTGCCTGATTCTGAACTGTATCCTCATGTCCCCTGCAGCCACTCACATCCAGGAGAAGGTTCCATGACAGGCAGAAAGTGGGAGACAGAATCAATGGGATGGGAACTCAGAGCTATTCATGGGATGGGTCCTTGAGCTCAGAGAGATAGAATGTCTGAGTCTGCTGTTGGCAACTGAGGGACCTCAGCCACCTATGGTCTCCCCCTGTATGTTGGTATCTGCTTATGAAATGAGGACCCAGAAGTGCCCTCCGAGCTGTTTTGTTGACTTCCGTCTCCTACAGATGCTGCGGTAATGGACCAAGAGTCTGCAGGGAACAGAACAGCGAATAGCGAGGTAGGTACTCCTCGGCCCGGGCTCGTGGCTACTGTTATTCCCAAAGAGTCCTGGAAAATGTGAGCACCCTCCCTCACTCAGCATTTCCCTCTCTCCAGGACTCTGATGAACAAGACCCTCAGGAGGTGACATACACACAGTTGAATCACTGCGTTTTCACACAGAGAAAAATCACTCGCCCTTCTCAGAGGCCCAAGACACCCCCAACAGATATCATCGTGTACGCGGAACTTCCAAATGCTGAGTCCAGATCCAAAGTTGTCTCCTGCCCATGAGCACCACAGTCAGGCCTTGAGGGCGTCTTCTAGGGAGACAACAGCCCTGTCTCAAAACCGGGTTGCCAGCTCCCATGTACCAGCAGCTGGAATCTGAAGGCATGAGTCTGCATCTTAGGGCATCGCTCTTCCTCACACCACAAATCTGAATGTGCCTCTCACTTGCTTACAAATGTCTAAGGTCCCCACTGCCTGCTGGAGAAAAAACACACTCCTTTGCTTAGCCCACAGTTCTCCATTTCACTTGACCCCTGCCCACCTCTCCAACCTAACTGGCTTACTTCCTAGTCTACTTGAGGCTGCAATCACACTGAGGAACTCACAATTCCAAACATACAAGAGGCTCCCTCTTAACGCAGCACTTAGACACGTGTTGTTCCACCTTCCCTCATGCTGTTCCACCTCCCCTCAGACTAGCTTTCAGTCTTCTGTCAGCAGTAAAACTTATATATTTTTTAAAATAACTTCAATGTAGTTTTCCATCCTTCAAATAAACATGTCTGCCCCCATGGTTTCGGTAATGGGACTCTTTTCTTGCCTAAGGCTTCCGGTGTTATCAGTACCATGTCCATATAATCCCATCTGTTCCCCACTGAGTTCTCATCCCCGGACTCTGAGTTTCTGGAAGCAGGGTGGAGCCTCATTTGTCTCTGAGACTCCAATTTCCATCCAAAGATGTAGCACATAGGAGGTTCCAAGGATCACGAATCATATGAACAAGTGATACTCTTACTCTCTGCAGACCTGGAAAGCTGGCAGAGTCATTCCACAATGAAACATTTGTAGAATCATAGGCCTTGTTAGTCTCATCTCCATGGGGACACATATCAACACATCATCTTTCATAATATAAATATACGGTCACTCCTCCATATCTGCGGGGTTTACAGGTGTTTATTGAACCAAGTATAAATCAAAAATATTGAGAGAAAGTATCCACAGAGTTTCAAAAAGCATAACTATGTTGAATGGACACAAATGAAGCTGTGTGTAGGCTGTATCAGGAATTATAAGTAATCTAGAGATGATTTCATGTATACAGGAGGATGTGCATAGGTTATTTGCAAACTCTGTGCCATTTCATATAAGAGGCTTGAGCATCTACAGATTTTGGTATCTGAGTGGAGATCTCAAAACCAATCACCCACGAATAGTGAAGGATGACCGTATATGACTTTTATTTCTCAAATTTAAATATAAATCATAAAAAATGTACAACTAGATAAAAACTAAGAAGTGTTTTTATAGTGTGAGTTAGATTTATTTTTTCCTAGGTGTAACCAATTGGTTTAATATTATTTATTGAGAAGACATTCTATGCCACCTTAAACCACACGGCAGCCTTTGTCAACTCTAAAGGGACTGTGTGTACATGGATGTATTTTAGACACTGTTTCTGCTAAGGGGCTCTCTGTGTCCACACTCTTGATGATGCTGCACTTTATGTAGCCTTATAGAACCCTTTAAATTTAGTAGCCAGAGCCCTCTAATTTGTTATTATAGGCTGTTTGCTTTTTTTTTCTTGAGGCGGAGTCTTGCTCTGTCGCCCAGGCTGGACTGCAGTGACACAATCTCAGCTCACTGCAACCTCCGCCTCCCAGGTTCAAGCGATTCTCGTGCCTCAGCCTCTTGAGCAGCTGGCGTTACAGGTGCCTGCCACCAGGCACGGCTAATTTTTGGATTTTTAACAGAGACACGGTTTCACTATATTGGCCAAGCTGCTCTCAAACTCCTTATCTCAGTTGATCCGCCCACCTCGGCTTCCCAACGTGCTGGGGAAAACTTGATTTTCTATAGCATTATGTTACTGGATATTTCTGTAAAATTTAAAACGAGGGAGGGAGAGAGACAGACAGAGAGCAAACTCCAGAGTTGGGACTCTGGAATCTTGGGTCATGAGACAAATTTTAGATTAAACTACAAAACTCCAGAATTTACAGGTGTGGTTTTTGCTGATAAAGTA
Organism: Homo sapiens; assembly: GCF_000001405.40. Lineage (NCBI taxonomy): Eukaryota > Metazoa > Chordata > Mammalia > Primates > Hominidae > Homo > Homo sapiens. Next base: position 69,235 of record NT_187675.1, read on the forward strand.
CAATTCTAAGATTGTAAATAATTGCATAATCCTTCCCTGGGAATTTAAATCATTTTAGCTGGTTCTGCTGTAATACTAGAAATACAAGCATGAAAAATTCTAATGGTTTATTAGTCACAATGACTCCGAAAACATTAATAATACCTATTAGATACTTTGCATATTACACAGGAAGAAGAGTTTGAATCTCAGATAAAAACAAAAAAAATACATGAAAAGTCTTTCATGTTAGCACAGATTTTAGGCATCTCGTGTTCGGATAAAAATACATGAAAAGTCTTTCACGTTAGCACAGATTTTAGGCATCTTGTGTTCGGGAGGTTGGATCTGAGACGTGTTGTGAGTTGGTCATAGTGAAGGACGTGAGGTGCCAATTCTAGTGAGAACAATTTCCAGGAAGCCGTGTTCCGCTCTTGAGCAAGCATCCACTGGGCCTCATGCAAGGTAGAAAGAGCCTGCGTACGTCACCCTCCCATGATGTAGTCAACATGTAAGCTGCATGGGCAGGGCGCCAAATAACATCCTGTGCGCTGCTGAGCTGAGCTGGGGCGCGGCTGCCTGTCTGCACCGGCAGCACCATGTCGCTCATGGTCGTCAGCATGGCGTGTGTTGGTGAGTCCTGGAAAGGAATAGAGGGAGGGAGCGCGGGGATGGAGATCTGGGCCCAGAGGTGGAGATATAGGCCTGGAGGTGGAGTTATGGGCCTGGAGTGGAGATCTGGGCCTGGAGTGGATATATGGGCCTGGAGATGGAGTGATGGGCCTAGAAGTGGAGATCTGGGTCTGGAGTGGAGATATGGGCCTGGAGGTGGAGATATGGGCCTGGAGTGGAGATCTGGGCCTGGAGTGGAGATAGGAACCTGGAGGGGAGATATGAGCCTGGAGTGAAGATATTGGCCTGGGATGGAGATATGGGCCTGGAGTGGAGACATGGGCCTGGAGGTGGAGATATGGGCCTGGAGGTGGAGACATGGGCCTAGAGGTGGATATCTGGGCCTGGAGTGGACATATGGGCCTAGGATGGAGATATGGGCCTGGGTGTGGAGATATGGGCTTGGGGTGGAGATATGGGCCTGGATTGGAGATATGGGTCTAGGGTGGAAATATTGGCCTGGAGTGGAGATATGGGCCTGGAGTGGAGATATGGGCTTGGGGTGGGGATAGGGGCCTGGGGTGCGGATATGGGCCTGCAGGCTGGGTCTCTACACAGCCGACAGCCCTGTTCTTGGGTGCAGGCTGGCACTGAGGGTGAGTTTCCCTTCAGCCCAGCAAGGGCCTGGCTACCAAGACTCACAGCCCAGTGGGGGCAGCAAGGGAGTCCTGGTTTGCCTGCAGATGGATGGTCCATCATGATCTTTCTTTCCAGGGTTCTTCTTGCTGCAGGGGGCCTGGACACATGAGGGTGAGTCCTTCTCCAAACCTTCGGGTGTCATCTCCCCACATAAGAGGATTTTCCTGAAACAGGAGGGAAGCCCGGTGGGGGATTTTCTTATAAACAAGGATGAGGAGACCCTGGGGTGCTCAGCCCACAGTTCCGACCTTGCCCTCCCCAGCCTTCCTTTCCCTTGGCTGAGTCAGGTTCTGTGGGAACCCGGGAGGGTAGACTGGGGTCCTCCAAGCTGGGCTGTGCGGCTGGGATGTGGTGTCACTGGCAGAGGAAGGGAGCAAAGCAGTGCTAGGAACAGCAGGCCTCTGAGGACAAAGGTGTAACTCACACCCTCCAGCGTTTCCATGACGGTAGGGGCTGCAGTGTGGCTGCTGTCATTCTACCTCAGAGGTGGGGGAACCCCAGCCAGGGCCCTGACCTTCCAAATCCTCTGTTGGGGGCTCAGTTGTGTATTGTGGTTCACACATTGGCTGATATTCCATTCACAAAGAACATGCCCTCGACCCCATGTCTATTTGTGTTGTTTTATGTGAGTAATCTTGCAGTATTAAAATCTAGTAGGAGTCCCTTACTCAGCACTTGCTCAAAGTTCTCAGCTGACACTTTTGTTGTAGAGAGACGCCAAGTCTATGCGGGGTGGGTCCTTCCCGTACCCATGGGCACCCAAGTGTGGTAGGAGCCTTAGAAACGAGGAAAGTGGGGAGAATCTTCTGAGCACTGGCAGGGAGGGGCGGCTCCACATCCTCCTTTCTAAGGTGGCGCCTCCTTCTCCCCCAGGTGGACAGGACAAGCCCTTGCTGTCTGCCTGGCCCAGCGCTGTGGTGCCTCGAGGAGGACATGTGACTCTTCTGTGTCGCTCTCGTCTTGGGTTTACCATCTTCAGTCTGTACAAAGAAGATGGGGTGCCTGTCCCTGAGCTCTACAACAAAATATTCTGGAAGAGCATCCTCATGGGCCCTGTGACCCCTGCACACGCAGGGACCTACAGATGTCGGGGTTCACACCCGCGCTCCCCCATTGAGTGGTCGGCACCCAGCAACCCCCTGGTGATCGTGGTCACAGGTCAGAGGACTCATGTCTGGGCTTCTCCTTCTCCCACTTCCTGAATCCCAGAGCATCTGGTGGGGGTGTCCACCAGGGTCCAATCATCCAGGCCCTGACTGTATTTGGTGTCAATGGGGATTGAATACAGGGGAATGGGTGCTGTGGTGGAAAGAGTAACTGTCGGCAGCATGGCTATATTGTAATCCTTGGAGCCTGTGACTATTTATGTTATAGGACATGGGACTGAAGGGGAAGATGGAGTTCAGGTTGTTGATGAGTTGACCTTGAGATGGGGAGACGACCTGGACTCTCCCACTGGGCTCAGTGTAATCACAAGGGTCCACATGAGAGGAGGAGGAAGAGGAGAGTGGGGATTAGAGCAGCGTAGTGGGAGGGAGAGTCCACCAGCCACTGCGGGCTTTGAAAGTGGAGGAAGGCCAGAAGCCACGGAATGCAGGTGGCCTTTAGGGGCTGGAGAAGTCAATGGAACTGATTCTCCCGAGTCTCCAGAGGGAATGCAGCCCTGCAGATGCCTTGATTGTAGCCCAGGAAGAACAGGGTCTGATTTCTGTCAACAGAAGTGTTCTCTCCCGCCGCCGTGTTTGTGATAATTTTCTGCAGCAACAACAGGAAACAACACAGGAATCCAGGTCAAGGACAAGTTAAAAAACCAAACAAGAGGGTTGGCTACCCTAAGGTCAGCAAGGGTGCACTGCTGATGCCACCACCAGGCTGGAGCTGCATAGGGAGGGATCCACAGGGAGAGTCGGGGGTGGAGGGTGAGAGAGAGAGAGAGCATTAGGTCATAGAGCAGGGGAGTGAGTTCTCAGCTCAGGTGTGAGGGGAGCTGTGACAAGGAAGAACCTCCCTGAGGAAACTGCCTCTTCTTCCAGGTCTATTTGGGAAACCTTCACTCTCAGCCCAGCCGGGCCCCACGGTTCGCACAGGAGAGAACGTGACCTTGTCCTGCAGCTCCAGGAGCTCATTTGACATGTACCATCTATCCAGGGAGGGGAGGGCCCATGAACCTAGGCTCCCTGCAGTGCCCAGCGTCGATGGAACATTCCAGGCTGACTTTCCTCTGGGCCCTGCCACCCACGGAGGGACCTACACATGCTTCAGCTCTCTCCATGACTCACCCTATGAGTGGTCAGACCCGAGTGACCCACTGCTTGTTTCTGTCACAGGTGAGGAAAGCCCATGCCTGTCCCATGTCCTGTGATCCTAGAGCCTTAGCTGAGGAGCTTCCTGCTGATGATGGAGAGAAGCATGGACAGATGCAGAGAGAACACGCAGCATGGTGTGAGGGAGGGATCAGGGCACAGGATGGCAGACAGGGCACCTCCAAACCCTCCTGCACGGCCTGCATGGAGGCCCGCGGCCAGGGCTCCAGGCACCCAGGCAGATGGAGAAAGTGGTCAGGACAGACCCAGAGGAGGGAGACTCGGCTCAGTTTGGGGAGATCAGAGGCTCCTCAGACCCTCAACCTTACCCATTTCCCAGAAGCCCATACTGGCCTCTCACCCACACAGAGATGTCATCACCAGCAACCCCTACACCCTTTTCTTTCCGTTTGAAAAAACATTTATTGAGGTTAAATGTAACTATATAATTTGCCACCTTTACCATTTTTAAAAGTAAAATCTAGTGGTCATAAATTCCTTTATATGCAGGGTGCAGTGGCTCACAGTTATAATCTCGGTGCTTTGAGAGGCCAAGGAAGGTGGATCATTTAAGATCAGAGGCTCGAGATCAGCCTGGCCAACATGAGGGAAATTCATCTTTACTAAACAGACAAGAAAAATTGGCTGGGCATGCTGGCATGCACCTGTATTCCTAGCTACATGGGAGGCTGAGGCAGGAGAAGTACGTAAGCCCAGGAGGCAGAGGTTGCACTGAGCTGAGATCAGGCCACTGCACTGCAGCCTGGGAGACAGAGAGAGATTCTGTCTCTAAATAAATAAATACATCTATATTCTTTTTTATTGTTGTTGTTACACTCCACCCTTTACTTCCTGCCCTCTGGTAGCCACCATTCTACTCTCTACCTTCATGAGATCCACCTTTTAGCTCCTGTATATGGGTGAGAAATGGGAATCTTTGCAATGACCTCCAGTTCCATCCATGTGGCTGCAAATGTCAGGATGTTATTCTTTCTACGGATGAGTACTCTCCACTGTGTGTGTGTACTACATTCTCTCTATCCATTCACCCACTGACGGGCAGGTAAGTTGACTCCACATCTTGGCTACTGTGAACAGTGCTGCACCAATCGTATGAGTGCAGATATCACTTCGATACACTGATGTCCTTCCCTTTGGGTTTACACCCAGTAGTGGAATTGCTAGATCCTATCAACAGGGTACCAGGGTTCTCCTTTCTCTACCACCTTGCCAGCATTCATTTTGTCTGTGTTTCAGATAAAAGCCACTTTAATGGGATGAGATGATAGCTCACTGTGATTTCAATTGGCATGATTAGTGATACTGAGCACTTTTTCATGTACATGTTCGCCATTTGTACGTTTTGTTTGTTGAGAAATGTCTGTTCAGGTCTTTTACTAATTGTTAAATTAAATTCATTGTTTTATACCGTTGCTTGAGTTTTATGTATATTCTAGTTATTAATCCCCTCTCAGATGCATACTTCACAAATATTTTCTCCCAATTTGTCTCTTCTTCACTTTGTTGGTTGCTTCCTTTGCGGTGCAGAAGCTGCTTACTTTGATGTAATCCCGAAGGTCTATTATTTTGTTTTGATTTCTTGTGTTTTTGAGATTTCAAATAAAATGTCTTTCCTCAGACAAATGTCCTGGAGCATTTCCCCACTCTTTCCTTTTAGACGCTTAATGGTTTCAGGCCTTAAGTGTTTCTTCCATTTTCATTTGATTTCTGTGTATGGTGAGAGGTAGAGGTGCAGTTTCATCAACTGCATGTAGATACCAGTTTTCCCTGCTCCATTTATTGAAAAGACCGTCGTTTCCTGATTGCAGGTTCTTGGCACCTACAATCGTCAAAGTCCATTGGATGTGAATGCATGAATTATATCTGTGTTCTTCATTCTGCTCCATTGCTCTAAGGGCCTTTATGCCAATGTCATGCTGTTGTGCTTACTACAGCTTTGTAACATATTTTTAAGTCAGGGAGTGTGAGGCCTCCAGCACCTGTTTTGTCTTTATACCTCGAAATCTCAGGACACTGGGCATCATTTAACAATGATGATGGAGAAGGGGACGCCAGGACTCCTAGGGCCCAACATTAGATAACAGAGTGTTGGCCATGAACCAACCTCAAAGATTTCCTTTGAGTAGAAGACAGGCATCCTCATTTCCTCACCTCTCTCCTGTCCTGTGTTCTAGGAAACTCTTCAAGTAGTTCATCTTCACCCACTGAACCAAGCTCCAAAACTGGTGAGTAAAGATCCCTCTTATCTCTGCTTTTGGAAACCTGGGGAGGTTGGTATCTTGGATTCAAGCATTGGCTCAGCACCTCCCAGCTCTGTGATTGTGGGCCTGTCTTCTAACATCTCTGACCCCCAGACACTACAACAGCGAAGGGTATCTGAGGACAGCAAAGGGCTCAGTGAAGTCTCTTCATTTCAAATTTCTGCAGCTGAGACCTCCTCCAAGCTAGACGGACGAGTACAAATCTGACATCCTTCTCAGGGATAATGTGGTGTTTTTTCTGCCTGCATTCCAAATTGGAGGATAAATTCGAGGGGACTTGAGAGAGGGAGGGGAAGGGAACATCTGATGAGGGAAAGGTGATTTAGAGAAGTTCCACTTGCCAAGGAATGAGCCCCTGTTGGTCATGATGCGACCTTGGCTGAGTCAGCAGAGCAAGAGCCTTGCAGTAAGAAGGAACGTAGTTCATCCACGAATATGACACTTCCACTCACTCACTTATTCAGCCACTGCCCTGTGCTCTGACTGTACAGTGTGGAACCCTTTCCTGCTGTTGCCATAATAAATCTCCACAAACTTCATGGATGACAACAACACAGCTTTTAAAATTATCTTACAGTGTTATAGCTCAGAAATATGAAATGCATTTCACTGGGCTAAAATCAAGGTGACTGCGAGGCTGCCTTTTCTCTGAAGGTTCCAGGCGAGAATCGGCTTTTCACATTTCCCAGCTCCCAGAGGTTCCCACGTTCCTTGGCATCTGGTCCCCATCCTCCTTCCTCGAAGTCCACAAAAGCTCGTCACATCTCTCACGTGGCATCACTCAGATCCCTCTTCCTTACCTCACCTCTTTCTCTAAGTGTTGCTCTGACTTTTTCTTCCTCTTTTAAAGACTTTGGGATTCTATTGAGTTTACCAAGATAATCCATCACAATCTCCCTAAAATCACCCAAGATAACCTCTTTTTAAGTTCAGCTGATTAGCAACCATAATTCCATCTGCAATCTTTATTCCTCCTTTCATGTAAAATAACATATTCACAAGCTATGGAGGCTAGGACAGGGACATTTTGGGGGTGGGCCAGCATTCTCCTGCCTTCCACAAATGGTAAACACGATGCATTTGGCCTCTGCTCTTAGGACACTGACATTGCAGATGGGCAAATGGGAGGGCAGAATATGAATGCACAAGTGGACCAGTAATGATTGATCCATTGGGAAGCATCCGTGCATGAAATCTATTTACCTATTTATTTATCTATTTATCTATTTATGTATTTATTTATTTGCGGCGAAGTCATTCTCTGTCCCCGGGCTGGAGTGCAGTGGCATGACCTCAGCTCACCACAACCTCCGCCTCCCGGGTTCAGGCGATTCTCCTGCCTCAGCCTCCTGACTAGTTGTGATTCCAGTCCCCTCCACCACACCCAGCTAATTTTCTTTTATATTTTTTAGTAGAGATGGAGTTTCACCATGTTGCGCAGATTGTCTCCAACTCCCAACCTCAAGTGATCCGACCGTCTCAGCATCCCAAAATGCTGGGACTCAAGGCGTGAGCCACTGCGCCCAGCCGAAATTTAAAATAAATAATAAAGAATTCTAAGTGTATAATTTCAGGAGACAGAGAAAGTCTCACTAATCAGATAATATTTGTGACCATAATGAAAAAAAAAAGTAGATTCAACCCCTGGAAGATGGGCGGAAGGATTTTCCACACACAGCTGTCAGCCGTGAAGGCACAAATGTGAAAACAATCTGATGTGGAAGGAAGAGGCTCTGCATTCAAATGCTGGGAATGACGTGGGGAGAATGACAAGATGACTGTAGGGAGACGGAGAGCACACTGGGTACACAGGAAACTAAGGAGCAACAAGGAGCGTGTGTTTGACACTCACAGCCATTGGATTCACCTCGGGGTAACCAGGAATCCCTACATGATTAATATGACTGACATGAAAATAAGGGACGCCCAAGTGCGTAACTGGAATCTAGGAGACCGTGGAAAAGGCAATTCCCGCCCCACTGGTGAAATGTGGTGCTGATTTAGACACTAAATGAATGAAGTAGATGGGTATAAGATATGTCTGTGAGGTAGAATCATTTGTAGGGAGGTCTTGCTGGATTTGATAATGCCTACTTATTTAATTTTGAATATATTAATTTCTTTCTGAGATTTATTTTTCCTACATGTAAATCAATATCTGGCAGAGGAGTGATAGATAGATGAGGGGTGGTGCAAATGAAGGGACTTATTATAGCATAATATACAAGTCTGTGAATGGGAGCTTACGCCTGTAACCCAACACTTTGGGAGGCCAAGGCGTTTGGATCACTTGAGGTCAGGAGTTTGAGACCAGCCTGGCCAACATGGAGAAACCCCATGCTCTTTTTAGCAACCAGTCCTAGGGACCTCATGGAGAACTTGCCAACCACGTCTCATGGGGACAGCATTAATGTATTCATGATGGATCCACCCCCATAACTGGAACGTCTCTCAATAGGCCCAGCCTCCCACACTGCGAGATAAGTGTCAACGTGAGGTTTGGCGGGGTCAAACATTCAAACTATAGCAGTGGTATCCCCAGCATGTTCTCTGATTATTTTGAGAACTATAACTGAGAAAGCAGGAGAAAGCTGGGTATCCTGCCATCGGGGAACTTGTCCTAAACAGATGTTGTATGTGCTTAGCTGGCAACCAAGAAATGAGAGACAATCCATAAAGAGGAACTGCTATAATTAGCTTCTTATTGGATTCCCACCTTCCCCCAGGTATCCGCAGACACCTGCACATTCTGATTGGGACCTCAGTGGCTATCATCCTCTTCATCATCCTCTTCTTCTTTCTCCTTCATTGCTGCTGCTCCAACAAAAAGAGTAAGTCTCACGAAGCAGAGGTCAGAGAGCTCAGGACCATGTGGGGAAGCAGGATGGGAGCACACTGGTGTGTGTTCCTGACTGGCAGGATGGTCCCTGGACCAAGGCAGGAGCCACAGAGGCAGGGCTTTCTAGAGAGAGCACCAGACACCCTGCCCCTGCCTTCAGCTCACAGACCATTGCCTGATTCTGAACTGTATCCTCACGTCCCCTGCAGCCACTGACATCCAGGAGAAGGTTCCATGACAGGCAGAAAGGGGAGACAGAATCACTGGGATGGGAACTCAGAGCTATTCATGGGATGGGTCCTTGAGCTCAGAGAGATAGAATGTCTGGGTCTGGCTGATGACAGCTGAGGGACCTCAGGCACCTACGGCCTCCCGCTGTGTGTTGGTGTCTGCTCATGAAATGAGGACCCAAAAGTGCCCTTCCAGCTGTTTTGATGACTTCTATCTCCTACAGATGCTGCTGTAATGGACCAAGAGCCTGCCGGGGACAGAACAGTGAACAGGGAGGTAGGTTCTCCTCAGCCCAGCCTCATGGATTGAGTCTCATTCCCTAATAGTCTTGAAGAATGTGAGCACCCTCCCTCACTCAGCATTTCCCTCTCTCCAGGACTCTGATGATCAAGACCCTCAGGAGGTGACATATGCACAGTTGGATCACTGCGTTTTCACACAGACAAAAATCACTTCCCCTTCTCAGAGGCCCAAGACACCTCCAACAGATACCACCATGTACATGGAACTTCCAAATGCTAAGCCAAGATCATTGTCTCCTGCCCATAAGCACCACAGTCAGGCCTTGAGGGGATCTTCTAGGGAGACAACAGCCCTGTCTCAAAACCGGGTTGCTAGCTCCCATGTACCAGCAGCTGGAATCTGAAGGCATCAGTCTTCATCTTAGGGGATCGCTCTTCCTCACACCACAAATCTGAACATGCCTCTCTCTTGCTTACAAATGTCTAAGGTCCCCACTGCCTGCTGGAGAGAAGACACACACCTTTGCTTAGCCCACAATTCTCTATTTCACTTGACCCCTGCCCACCTCTCCAACTGAACTGGCTTACTTCCTAGTCTACTTGAGGCTGCAATCACACTGAGGAACTCACAATTCCAGACATACAAGAGGCTCCCTCTTAACATGGCACTGAGACACGTGCTGTTCCACCTTCCCTCATGCTGTTTCACCTTTCCTCAGACTATTTTCCAGCCTTCTGTCAGTCAGCAGTGAAACTTATAAAATTTTTTGTGATTTCAATGTAGCTGTCTCCTTTTCAAATAAACATGTCTGCCCTCATTGCTTTAGGTAATGTGACACTATTCGCTGAAAGAAACCGCTGTTATCATTACCATGTCCACATAACCCCATCTGTTATCCACTGGGTTCTCTCCCCTGGACTCTGAGCTTCTGGAAGCAGGGTGGAGCCTCATTTGTCTCTGGGACTCCAATTTCCATCCAAAGATGCAGCACATAGGAGGTTCCAAGGATCATGAATCACATGAACAAGTGATATTCTTACTCTCTGCAGACCTGGAAAGCTGGCAGAGTCATTCCACGATGAAACATTTGTAGAGTCATAGGCCTTGTTAGTCTCATCTCCATGGGGACACATATCAACACATCATCTTTCATGCTATATATATATATACAGTCGCTCCTCCGTATCTGTGGGGTTTACAGGTGTTTATTGAACCAACTATAAATAAAAAATATTCAGAGAAGAAAATCCACAAACTTTCAAAAAGCAAAACTATGTTGAAGGGACACAAATGAAGCAGTGTGTAGGCCATATCAGGAATTATAAGTAATCTAGAGATGATTTCATGTACACAGGAGGATGTGCATGGGTTATATGCAAATGCTGTGCCATTTCATGTAAGAGGCTTGAGCATCTGCAGATTTTGGTATCTGAGTGGAGATCCTGAAACCAATCACCCAGGAATAGTGAAGGATGACCGTATAAAACTGTTATTTCTCAATTTTAAATATAAATCATAAAAAAATTATAAACTAGATAAAAACAAGAAGTGTTTTTATAGTGTGAGAATAAGTTTAGATTTATTTTTTCCTACGTGTAACCCTTTGGTTTAATATTATTTATTGAGAAGACATTCTATGCCACCTTAAACCACAGGGCAGCCTTTGTCAACTCTAAAGGGACTGTGTGTACACGGATGTATTTTAGACACTGTTTCTGCTAAGGGGCTCTCTGTGTCCACACTCTTGAGGATGCTGCACTTCATGTAGCCTTATAGAACCCTTTAAATTTAGTAGCCAGAGCCCTCTAATTTGTTATTATAGGCTACTTGCTATTTTTTTTTTCTTAAGGCGGAATCTTGCTCTGTCACCCAGGCTGGACTGTAGTAGTGCAATCTCAGCTCACTGCAAACTCCGCCTCCCAGGTTCAAGCGATTCTCGTGCCTCAGCCTCTTGAGTAGCTGGCATTACAGGTGTCTGCCACCAGGCACGGCTAATTTTTGAATGTTTAGCAGAGACACGGTTTCACTATGTTGGCCAGGCTGCTCTCAAACTCCTCATCTCAGTTGATTCGCCCACCGCGGCTTCCCAACATGCTGGGGGAAACTTGATTTTCTATAGCATTATGTTACTGGATATTTCTGTAAAATTTAAAATGAGGGAGGGACAGAGACAGAGAGAGAGCAAACTCCAGAGTTGGGACTCTGGAATCTTGGGTCATGAGACAAATTATAGATAAAACTATAAAAATCCAGAATTTACATGTGTGGTTTTTGCTGATAAAGTACAATTCGAAGATTGTAAATAATTGCATAATCCTTCCCTGGGAATTTAAATCATTTTAACTGGTTCTGCTGTAATACTAGAAATACAAGCATGAAAAATTCTAATGGTTTATTAGTCACAATGACTCTGAAAACATTAATAATACCTATTAGATATTTTGCATATTACACATGAAGAAGAGTTTGAATCTCAGATAAAAACAATAAAAATACATGAAAAGTTTTTCACGTTAGCACAGATTTTAGGCATCCTGTGTTCCGGAGGTTGGATCTGAGACGTGTTTTGAGTTGGTCATAGTGAAGGACACGAGGTGTCAATTCTAGTGAGAACAATTTCCAGGAAGCCGTGTTCTGCTCTTGAGCGAGCACCCACTGGGCCTCATGAAAGGTAGAAAGAGCCTGCGTACGTCACCCTCCCATGATGTGGTCAACATGTAAACTGCATGGGCAGGGAGCCAAATAACATCCTGTGCGCTGCTGAGCTGAGCTAGGGGTGCGGCCGCCTGTCTGCTCCGGCACCACCATGTCGCTCATGGTCATCAGCATGGCATGTGTTGGTGAGTCCTGGAAGGGAATAGAGGGAGGGAGCGCGGGGATGGAGATCTGGGCCCAGAGGTGGAGATATAGGCCTGGAGGTGGAGTTATGGGCCTGGAGTGGAGATATGGGCCTGGAGGTGGAGATATGGACCTGGAGTGGAGATATGAGCCTGGAGTGGAGATATGGGCCTAGAGTGGAGATATGGGCCTGGAGGTGGAGATCTGGGCCTGGAGTGGAGATCTGGGCCTGGATTGGAGATATGGGCCTGGAGTGGAGATATGAGCCTGGAGTGGAGATATGGCCCTGGAGTGGAGATAGGGGCCTGGAGTGCAGATATGGGCCTGGAGTGGAGATGTGGGTCTGGAGTGCAGATATGGGCCTGGAGGTGGACATAAGGGCCTGGAGTGGAGATATGGGCCTAGAGTGGAGATATGAGCCTGGAGATGGAGATATGGGCCTGGAGTGGAGATATGGGCCTGGAGGTTGGAGATATGGGCCTGGAGTGGAGATATGGGCCTGGAGCGGAGATATGGGCGTGGGGTGGAGATATGGGCCTTGAGTGGAGATATGGGACTGAAGTGGAGATATGGGTGTGGGGTGGAGATATGGGACTGGAGTGCAGATATGGGCATGGGGTGGAGATATGGGACTGGAGTGGAGATATGGGCGTGGAGTGGAGATATGGGACTGGAGTGGAGATATGGGCGTGGGGTGGAGATATGGGCCTGGAGTGGAGATATGGGCGTGTGGTGAAGATATGGGCCTGGAGTGGAGATATGGGCCTGGAATGGAGATATGGGCGTGGGGTGGAGATATGGGACTGGAGTGGAGATATGGGCCTGTTGTGGAGATATGGGCTTGGAGTGGAGATATGATCCTGGAATGTAGTTATGGGCCTGGAGGTGGAGATCTGGGCCCGGGGTGGAGATATGGGCCTGGAGTGGAGATATGGGCCTGGAGAGGAGATATGGGCCTGGAGTGGAGATATGGGCCTGGACTGGAGTTATGGGCCTGGGGTGGAGATCTGAGCCTGGATTGCAGATGTGGGCCCAGATTGGCTATATGGGCCTAGGGTGGGAATATCAGCCTGGAGTGGAGATATGTGCCTGGAGTGGAGATATGGGCTTGGGGTGGGGATATGGGCCTGGAGGCTGGGTCTCTGCACAGCCGAGAGCCCTGTTCTTGGGTGCAGGTAGGCACTGAGGGTGAGTTTCCCTTCGGCCCAGGAAGGGCCTGGCTACCAAGACTCACAGCCTAGTGGGGATAGCAAGGGAGGCCTGGTTTGCCTGCAGATGGATGGTCCATCATGGTCTTTCTTTCCAGGGTTCTTCTGGCTGCAGGGGGCCTGGCCACATGAGGGTAAGTCCTTCTCCAAACCTTAAGGTGTCATCTCCCCACATAAGAGGATTTTCCTGAAACGGGAGGGAAGTCCTGTCGGGGAGTCTCTCTTAAACTAGAAAGAGGGGACCCTGGGGTGCTTGGCCCACAGTTCCGACCTCGCCTCCCCAGCCTTTCATTTCCTTGGCAGAGTCAAGTTCTGTGGGGACCAGGGTTACACTAGGGTGCTCAAAGCTGGGTTGTGTGGTGGGGAAGTGGTAGGAACAGCAGATCCTCTGAGGACAAAGGTGTTACTCACACACTTCAGCGTTTCCATGATGGTAGGGGCTGCAGTGTGGCTGCTCTCATTCTACCAGAAGAGGTGGGAAACCACAGCCATGGCCCTGACATTCCAAATCCTCTGATGGGGGCTCAGTTGTTTATTTTCATTCAGGCATCTGCTGATATTCCATTCTCAAAGGACATGCCCTCCACCCCATGTCTACCCTGTGTTGTTTTATGTGAGTAATCTTACAGTATTAAAATCTAGTAGGAGTCTCTTACTCAGCACTTGCTCAAAGTTCTCAGCTGACATTTTTGTTGTAGGGAGACACCTTGTCTTTGTGGGATGAGTCCTTCCTTTAGCCCTAGGCACCAAGGTGTGATAGCAGCCATAGAAATGTGGAAAGTGGGGAGAATCTTCTGAGCACAGGGAGGGAGGGGCGGCTGCACATCCTCCTCTCTAAGGTGGCGCCTCCTTCTCCCCAAGGTGGTCAGGACAAGCCCTTGCTTTCTACCTGGCCCAGCCTTGTGGTGCCTCCAGAACATGTGACTCTTCGGTGTCACTCTAATCTTGGGTTTAACAACTTCAGTCTGTACAAGGATGATGGGGTGCCTGTCCCTGAACACTACAACAGAATATTCTGGAAAAGCCTTTTCATGGGCCCTGTGACCCCGTCACACACAGGGACCTATAGATGCCGGGGTTCACACCCACACTCCCCCAGTGGGTGGTCGGCACCCAGCAACCCCCTGCTGATCATGGTCACAGGTCAGAGGGCTCCTGTCTGGGATTCTCCTTGTCCCACCTCCTGAATCCCAGAGCTTCCGGTAGGCATGTCCTTGAGGGTCCCTTCACGCAGGCCCTGACTGTATTTGGGGTAAAGGGGGATTGAATACAGGGAAATGGGTACTGTGGTGAGAAGAATAATTGTCCCCAGTGATGACTACATTCTAATCCCTGGAGTCTGTGACTATTTATGTTATAGGGGAAGGGACTGAAGGGGAAGATGGAGCTCAGGTTGTTGATGAGTTGACCTTGAGATGGGAGAAGGCCTGGACTGTCCCCCTGGGCTCAGTGTAGTCACAAGGGTCCACATGAAAGGAGGAGGAAGAGGAGAGTGGGGATTAGAGCAGCATAATGGGAGTCTCCATCAGCTTTGAAGGTGGAGGAAGGCCAGGAGCCATGAATGCAGGTGGCCTATAGAGGCTGGAAAAGTCAAGGAACTGATTCTCCTGAGTCTCCAGAGGGAACGAAGCCCTGCAGGTGCCTTGATTTTAGCCCAGGAAAAACAGGGCCCGACTTCTGCCTCCAAAAATGGAAGGGGTCAGTGTGCTCTCTCCTGCTGCCATGCTGCTGATAATTTTCTACAGCAGCAACAGGAAACCAACACCGGAACCCAGCTCGAGGAAAAGTTAAGAAAGGACACAAGGATAGCCGGGCGTGGTGGCAGGTGCATGTAATCCTAGCGACTTGGGAGGCTGAGGGCAGGAGAATCACTTGAACCCAGGAGACAGAGGTTGCAGTGAGCCTAGACCACACCACTTCACTCCAGCCTGGGCAAAGGAGTGAGACTCTGTCTCCAAAATTAATTAATTAAAGAAACCAAACAAGGAGAAGGTTGGCTACACCAAGATCAGCAAGTGTGGGATTATGATGCCACCACCAGGCTCCATCCACATAGGGAGCGGTTGATACTCCTCCAACCAGCACCAGGAGCCAGGCTATGGAAGCTGGTACAGGCATGGCAAGAGTGGCTCCCAGTCCCCACCAGGAAAAGGGTGTGTGGACACTGGTGCCTGCCTTACTGTTCAGTTCATACCTCCTGCCAAGGATTCCAATTCGTCCAAAAGAGATTGAACCAGGCTGCTAAGAGCCTGGATGTGCAGCCTATCCTGGTTCCTCTTCCACCCCCACATAGACAGCAGGAAAGACATTAGTTCAAAATAGATACAACAGCCGAAGAGATGAGGCTGAGCCCAGCGGCAAGGCAATCAGAGGTTACTAGAGACAGAGGGACAGAGAAGAGGGAGGGAGACAGATGGAAGGACCTGCACCAGGAGTTATGGGCACAGAAAAGAACATGAAGACACAGAGAGGAAGGAGAGAGACAGACACCAGGGAGGGGAAGCCTCACTCAATCCAGGTGCCATGGATGGGATGATAAAGAGAGACACCTTCTAAATTCACAAACTCTCTTCCTAGGATTCCGCAGAAAACCTTCCCTCCTGGCCCACCCAGGTCGCCTGGTGAAATCAGAAGAGACAGTCATCCTGCAATGTTGGTCAGATGTCATGTTTGAGCACTTCCTTCTGCACAGAGAGGGGACGTTTAACGACACTTTGCGCCTCATTGGAGAGCACATTGATGGGGTCTCCAAGGCCAACTTCTCCATCGGTCGCATGAGGCAAGACCTGGCAGGGACCTACAGATGCTACGGTTCTGTTCCTCACTCCCCCTATCAGTTTTCAGCTCCCAGTGACCCTCTGGACATCGTGATCACAGGTGAGAGTGTCCAGACATTCTTCTCATTGTCATTCGGACACAGAGTGAATGATCCAGGACTTGGAGGCCCAGGTGGTTGTAAGGAAGATGAGCTTGGTATTCTTATGGAGAGAGACTGACTTGGTGAGGTCTGTACCAACAGAGACAGAGAAACAGGAGACACAAGTACAGACCAGGTGTCATAACAGAGGACAGACACAGGGGCCATTCCGAGAGTTAGAAAAGACAGAAGGAGTTAAAGGAGACAGACAGACAGACATGTCCCAGAGAGAGGTGTCCCTCCATGCTGACTTTGCTCAGAGACCTGGCACAGATTACAAGTTTCATTTCTGTTTTACCTCCACAAAGTGTTCTCTACCAGGAGAACCCAAGGACACCCATATTTCTGACCTGAGTTGGGCCCTGTGGCCTCAGGCCTTCTGGCACCTACAGATGCCGTGTTTATTCTGACACCTCTGCCTTCCAAGTAATGGAGAGTAATCGTCCCAGGATATCATGGCCCCAGAACACCAACCCCTGTATGCTGTGTGAACTTGTAGTCTCCAGACTGGATTCTGAGGCTCACATTCCAAATAACCCCACATATGAAAGGATCACTGAGAGGCACAGAGAAAAATCAGGAACACCAAAAAGCAAAGACATAAACACACAGAGAATGGGCCAGAGGAAGGAGATTGAGAGACTCACAGACACATAAAGAGAGAGAAAAGAGGGCAGAGGAGTGGTGAGAATGATGGAAGGGAGCAGAGAAAAGCACTAAAATTAGAGTCCTGAGGGAGAGGCACAAGGACATAGAAAGATGGAGATGTGGGGATGAATTGCAGAGATTCCAAAGAGAACTAGAGAGACCGAGAGGCAGAGCAAGACAGATGATAGATGGATAGATATAGATAGATGATAAATAGGTAGATGATAGATACTAGGTTATAGATACATAGATGATGATTGATTGATTCATTAATAGATGAGACGTAGAGATGATGATGAAGACAGATAGATAATACATAGAGATAGAGAGGCAGACAGAAGTCATAGAGAGAGAGATGATACATAGATATAGATAACAGATGATTGATGGATAGATAGACAAGTGATAGATACATAGATGATATATAGATATAGATGACAAGTAGAGAATTTGTAGATAGGCACCGAATAGATAAATAGATAGATCAACAGATAATAGATAGAAATATGCAGAAAGTTATGAACAGGACACAAAGTGAGAAACTTAGAATTTAAAAAAGTAACATCAAGTCAACCAATCCAAGGAGAGTCAGAGAGAATAAAACAATCCAAAAACGGAAAACATATCTAGAGGTGGGGAAGCGAGGTCAGAGACCTAGAGAGACAGAGAAGGTGGAAGGAGGAAATAGACATGAAGAGAGATGGGGTGGAGGGTGAGAGAGAGAGAGAGAGAGCATTAGGTCATAGAGCAGGGGAGTGAGTTCTCAGCTCAGGTGAAGGGAGCTGTGACAAGGAAGATCCTCCATAAGGAAAATGCCTCTTCTCCTTCCAGGTCTATATGAGAAACCTTCTCTCTCAGCCCAGCCGGGCCCCACGGTTCTGGCAGGAGAGAGCGTGACCTTGTCCTGCAGCTCCTGGAGCTCCTATGACATGTACCATCTATCCACGGAGGGGGAGGCCCATGAACGTAGGTTCTCTGCAGGGCCCAAGGTCAACGGAACATTCCAGGCCGACTTTCCTCTGGGCCCTGCCACCCAAGGAGGAACCTACAGATGCTTCGGCTCTTTCCATGACTCTCCCTACGAGTGGTCAAAGTCAAGTGACCCACTGCTTGTTTCTGTCACAGGTGAGGAAAGCCCATGGCTGTCCCATGTCCTATGATCCTAGAGCCTTAGCTGAGGAGCTTCCTGCTGAGGATGGAGAGAAGCATGGACAGATGCAGAGAGAAGATGCATCCTCGGTGTGAGGGAGGGATCAGGGCACAGGATGGCCGACAGGGCACCTCCAAACCCTCCTACATGGCCTGCATGGAGGCCCGCAGCCAGGGCTCCAGGCACCCAGGCAGATGGAGAAAGCGGTCAGGAGAGACCCAGAGGAGGGAGACTGGGCTCAGTTTGGGGAGATCAGAGGTTCCCTCAGCCCCTCAACCTTACCCATTTCCCAGAAGCCCATCCTGGCCTCTCACCCACACAGAGATGTCATCACCAGCAACCCCTACACCCTTTACTTTTGTTTGAAGAAATATTTATTGAGGATAAATATACCTATATAGCTTACCACCTTTAACATTTTTTTTTTTTTGAGGCAGAGTCTAGCTCTGTCCCCTATGCTGGAGTGCAGTGGCACAATCTCAGCTCACTGCAACTTCCGCCTCCTGGGTTCAAGCGATTCTCCTGCCTCAGCCACCTGAGTAGCTGGTGCTACAGGTGCGCACCACCACGCCAGGCTACTTTTTGTATTTTTAGTAGAGAGGTGGTTTCACCATGTTGGTCGAGCTGGTCTGCAACTCCTGACCACGTGATCCACCCGCATCTGCCTCCCAAAGTGCTGGGATTACAGGCATGAGCCACCACGCCCAGCCACATTTACCATTTTTAAGTGTAAAGTCTAGTGGTCATAAATACATTTATATATATATATATATATACATTTTTTTTACCCTCCACCCTTTTCTTCCTGCCCTCCAGTAGCCACCATTCTACTCTCTACCTTCATGAGATCCACCTTTTAGCTCCTGTATATGGGTGAGAAATGGGAATCTTTGTAATGACCTCCAGTTCCATCCATGTGGCTGCAAATGACAGGATGTTATTCTTTCTATGGATGAGTAGTCTCCACTGTGCGTATGTACTACATTCTCTCTATCCATTCACCCACTGATGGGCAGGTAGGTTGACTCCTCATCTTGGCTACTGTGAACAGTGCTGCACCAATCATACGAGTGCAGATATCACTTCGATATATTGATTTACTTTCCTTTGGATATAAACCCAGTAGTGAAATTGCTGGATACTATGAAAGTTCTCTTTTTTTTTTTTTTCTTTTTTGAGAAAGAGTTTCCCTCCTTAGCCCAAGCTGGAGTCAAAGTGGTGCGACCTTGGCTCATTGCAACCTCCGCCTCCTGGGTTCCAATGATTTTCCTGCCTCAGCCTCCCTAGTAGCTGGGATTACAGGTGCACGCCACCATGCCTGGCTACTTTTTGGTTTTTTTAGTATAGATGCGGTTTCCCCATGTTGGCTGGGCTGCTCTCAAACTCATGACCTCAACTGAGGTGCCCGCCTCAGTCTCCCAAAGTGCCGGGATTACAGGCCTGATCCACCACACCCAACCTCTTTTTAGTTCTTTAAAGGACTTCCATACTTTTCTCCGTAATCGCTGTACTAATTTACACTCCTCCCAACAGGGTACCAGGGTTCTCCTTTCTCTAGCACTTTGCCAGCATTTCTTTTGCCTGTCTTGCAGCTAAAAGCCATTTTATTTATTTCATTTTATTTTGAGATGGAGTTTTGCTCTTCTCACCCAGGCTGGAGTGCAGTGGCGCTATCTCGGCTCACCACAACCTCCACCTCCCAGGTTCAAGCGATTCTCCTGCCTCAGCCTCCCGAGTAGCTGGAATTACAGGCACACGCCACCACGCCCGACTAATTTTTGTATTTTTAGTAGAGACAGCGTTTCTCTATGTGGGTCATACTGGTCTCAAACTCCCGACCTTATGAGATTCACCCACCTCAGGCTCTCAAAGTTCTAGGATGACAGACGTGAGCCACCTCACCCGGCCTAAAAGCCATTTTAATGGGGTGAGATGAAAACTCACTTTGATTTTAATTTGCATTTCTCTGATGATGAGTGATACTGAGCACTTTTTCATATGTGGGGAAATTTCATGTCTTTTGCTCCTTTTTCAATTAAATCATTTGTTTTATTGAGTTGTTTGAGCTTCTTATATTTCTAGTTATTAATCCCATCTCAGATGCATAGTTTGCACATATTTGCTCCCAATCTGTGGGTTGTCTCTTCACTTTGTTGGTTTATTTTTAGCAGTGCAGAAGTTGCTTAGTTTGAGGTAATCCCAATGGTCTATTTTTGCTTCGATTACTTGTGTTTTCAAGGTTTAAAACAAAATGTCTTCCTTCAGACAAACGTCCTGGAGCATTTCCCCAATATTTCTTCTACGTGTTTCATAGGTTCAGGCCTTAGACTCACATCTTTAATCCATTTTCATTTGATTTTTGTGTATGGTGACAGGTAGAGGTGCAGTTTCATTCCTCTGCATGTAGATGTCCAGGTTTCCCTGCACTGTTTATTGAAAAGACTGTCCTTTCCTGATTGTGAGTTCTTGGCACCTTTGTCAAAGTCCATTGGATGGGCTGGGCTTGGTGGCTCACACCTGCAATTCCAGCACTTTGGGAGGCCGAGGCGGGTGGATTACCTGAGGCCAGGAGTTCAAGATCAGTCTGGCCGACGTGATGAAACATCGTCTCCACTAAAAATATAAAAATTAGCTGAGCATGGTGGTCAGCACCTGTAATACCACTACTCAGGAGTTTGAGGCAAGAGAATGATTGAACCCAGGAGGCTGAGGTTGCAGTGAACTGAGATTGCACCTCTGCACTCCAGCCTGAGTGACAGAGCAAGACTCCATCTCAAAAGAAAAAATAAAAAACCATTGGATGTAAATGCATGGAATATATCTGTGTTATTCATTCTGCTCCATTGTTCTATGTGCCTTTCTTTATGCCAATGTCATGCTGTTTTGCTTACTACAGCTCTGTAACATATTTTGAGATCAGGTAGTGTGATGCTCCTGTTTTCTCTTTATACCTTGAAGTCTCAAGACAGTGGGCGTCACATACAAAAATTATGGAAAAAAGGATCCCAGGACTCCCAGGGCCCAATATTAGATAACAGAGTGTTGGCCATGAACCATCCTCAAAGATTTCCACTGAGTAGAGGACAGACACCCTCATTTCCTCACCTCTCTCCTGTCTCATATTCTAGGAAACCCTTCAAATAGTTGGCCTTCACCCACTGAACCAAGCTCCAAAACCGGTGAGTACAGAACCCTCTTATATCCGCTTTTGGAAACCTGGGGAGGTGGAAACCTTGGATTCAGGCGTTGACTCAGCATCTCACAGCTCTGACATTGTACCCCTGTCTTCCACCATCTCCGAACTCCAGATACTCCTACAGCGAAAGGGATCTGGGCCCAACACAGGGCTCAGTGAAATCTCTTCATCTCTCATTTTATGGAGCTGAGACCTCCTACAAGCTAGAAGAATGATTGCCAATCTGACATCCTTCTCAGGAAAAATGCAATGTTTGTTCTGCCTGCATTCCTAACTGGAGGATAAATTCCTGGAGACTTGAGAGAGGGAAGGGAAGGGAACATCTGATGAGGGCGAGGTGTTTTAGAGAAGTTCCACTTGCCAAGGAATGAGCTCCTATAGGTCATGAAGCAACCCTGGCTGACTCAGCAGAGAAAGAGCCTTGCTGTAACAGAGAACAGAGCTCATGCACGCACACTTCGACTCACTGACTCATTCAGCCACGGCCCCATGCTCAGGCTGTGCAGTGTGGAAGCTTTTCCTATTGTTGCCATAACAAATTTCCACAAGATTCGTGGGTGAAAACAAAACGGTTTTTTAATTATCTTGCAGTGCTGTAGCTCAAAGTATGAAGTGCATCTCACTGGGCTAAAATCAAGGTGACAGCAAGGCTGCCTTCCCTCTGAGGATTCCAGGCAAGAATCTGCTTCTCACTTTTCTCAGCTTCTAGAGGCTCCCACATTCCTTCGCTCCTGGTCCCCTTCCTCCTTCCTCAAAGCCCACAAAGGCTGGTCACATCTCACATGGCATCACTCAGACCCTTCTTCCTTACCACACCTCTTTCTCTGAATGCTGCTCTCCCTTCTTCCTCATCTTTTGAAAACTTGGGGATTCTATTGGGTTCACCAAGATGAAAATCCATCATAATCTCCCGGAAATCATTCAGGATACCCTTGTTTTAAGTTCAGCTGATTAGCAACCATAATTCCATCTGCAATCTTCATTCCTCCTTTCCATGTAAAATAAGATATTCACAAGCTATGGAGGCTAGGACAGGGACATTTTGGGGTGGGACAGCATTCTCCTACCTTCCACAAACAGTGAACAAGATGCATTTGGCCTCTGCTCTTGGGACACTGATATTGCAGATGGTTAAATGGGAGGGCAGAAAATGAATGCACAAGTGGACCAATAAATGAATGATCCATTGGGAAGCATCTGTGTATGAAATCTATTTGTTTGTTTCTTCATTTGTTTATTGAGACAGAGTCGCCCTCTGTCTTCCAGGCTACAGTGCAGTGTCACCATCTTGGCTCACTGCAACCTGCACCTTCTGGATCCAAGTGATTCTCCTGCGTCAGCCTCTCAAGTAGCTGGGATTACAGGCAACTGCCACCATGCCCGGCTAATTCTTTTTGTATATTTTTTGTAGAGGATGTTTCACCATCTTCGCCAAGCTTCTCTGAAACTCCCAACCTCAAGTGATCCGACCGTCTCAGCATCCTAAAGTACTGGGATAACTGGCGTGAGCCACTGTGCCCAGCCAGAATTTAAAATAAATAATACATAATGCTGAGTGTATGATTTTGGGTGACAGAGAAGATCTCACTAATCAGATATTTGTGACATTAATGAAAAACACGGATTGAACCCCTGAAAGATTGGTGGAAGGATTTTCCACACACAGCTGTCAGCCGTGAACGCACAAAGGTGAAAATAATCTGATGTTGAAGGAAGAGGCTCTTCCTCAAATGCTGGGAATGACGTGGGGAGAATGACAAGACGACTGTGGAGAGACGGAGAGCACACTGGGTACACAGGAAACTAAGGAGCAACAAGGAGTGTGTGTTTGACACTCACAGCCATTGGATTCACCTCGGGGTAACCAGGAATCCCTACATGATTAATATGACTGACATGAAAATAAGGGAGGCCCAGGTGCGTAACTAGAATCTAGGAGACTGTGGAAAAGGCAATTCCCGCCTCACTGGTGAAATGTGGTGCTGATTTAGACCCTAACTGGGTGAAGCAGATGGATATAAGCTATGCTTGTGAGGTGGAATCATTGGCTGGAAAGGCTTGCTGGGTATGATTTTCCTAGTTGTCTAATCCTCGCTTAATTTCTTTCTGAGCTTTATTCCTACTACACATAAATCAATACCTGGCAAAGGAGTGACAGATATATGAGTGGTGGTGGAAATGAAGGGACCTATTATAGCATAATATACAAGTCTGTGAACGGTGGCTCACGCCTGTAACCCAGCACTGCAGGAGGCCAAGGAGGGTGGATCACATGAAGTCAGCAGTTCGAGACCAGCCTGGCCAACCTGGTGAAACCCTGTCTCTAGGAAAAACACAAAAATTAGCCGAGCATGGTGGTGCATCCCTGTAATCCCAGCTCCTACTCTGGAGGATGAAGCAGGAGAATGACTTCAACCCAGGAGGTGGAGGTTGCAGTGAGTGGAGATTGCATCACTGCACTCCAGCCTGGGTGACACAAGGAGACTCCGTCTCAAAAAATAAAAATAAGAAATGCATAAATATAAATATAATATAACACACGCAAATGACAAAGGGACCTGAATTCCAATCATGATTTTTCTATTTCTCTATAATTACTTCTTTGATCTTTTATCTTATCCATTAGGCAATGAGCCTAAAACCTCTTCCCTATTTGGCTTTCTGTGAGCATGAGATCATATAGAAAATGTGAAAGCCCGCTGAATCCTCCAGCACAGATCCTGGAATACACAAAGTGCTCTGTTCATCACAAAAAAAACATGCCCTCTCACCCAAATCCCCCACCTCACCCCTACTTCCAATCATCTGTGGAGATTCAGATAGACCATGGGGAGGTAAATTCTAATACTCCTTGGAGTGAGTCCAGATCTTGGAATCAGAGATCAGCGTCAGCACTAGCTCCTGCTCCCCTTTCCTACTAATTCACAGGAGGACAGGTGGTATTGAAGCAATAGATGGCCGAGGGGGTGGTCCTTCCCCCAGCCTCTGGGGTAGAACAGCAGCCTAACATGTGTCTCCGGAGATCACAAAGAGTAGCACGTTTCACATGGGCTTCAACACTGTTTCCTGGCCATTTGACATAAGAGAATTCTACTTCGCTTTTTTTATCTTGATTTCACTTTTGTTTCCTTTTCTTGGAGAATGCAAGTTGTTTGACTCAAGAATGCCCTGGATGTAGAAATCCTAAAGCACATTCGCTGTGTATCAATCCCAGTGCAGTCTTCCCAGAGAAGACTCTAAACACCTCCTGGACTGCACCTGGGCCTATGCCAATTCCTATCACTCACCGTCACTCCAGGGAGACAGAACACACAGAGAATACATTACACAGGCAGGTTCATTACTAACAGATAAGCAGCGAGTGACAACAGAAGCCTACATTTCAATGTGAGCCAGTCCCTCAAGGCTCAGAAAAGCTGCTCGGGACATATGGAGTCACCCCATTTGCAGTGTAGCTGGGGGAAGCCAGAAAGCAGCCCAGCCTGGGTTTTGTACCCTGGAGCCACAGGAAGCACTCAGCTAAAGCACTGCATGACGCCTTCCTCCAGGAAGAACAGGAAGACAGCCCAGGCTGTTCTGAGACATTCCTCCTGATCTCAGTACGTTGCTGTCGTAGTTTTTTTTTGTTGCTCTAAAGGAAAACTTGAGCCTCGGTAACTTCTAAAGAAAAGAGATCGGTTTGCCTCACCGTTCTGCAGGCTGTACTGGAAGCATGGTACCAGAATCTATTTCTTGTGACGGCCTCAGGCTGCTCCCACTCTGGCAGAAGGGAAGGAGGGTCTGTCTGTGCAGAGACCGCAGAGATCACACGGCAAGAGAGAGAGTAAGGGGGAGGGGGAGCGATGGAGCTTCCAAGCTCTTTTGAACAACCAGCTCTCCAGGAACTAATAGAGGGGGAACTTGCTAACCCCGTCTCCTTGGGACAGCATTGTTCTGTTCATGATGGATCCACCTCCATGACCCAAACACCTCCCAAGAGGCCCAACCTCCCACACTGGGGGTGAAATTTCCATGTGAGGTTTGAAGGGGTCAGACATCTCAACTAAAGTAGTTGTATCCTCAGCACGTTCTATGGTTACTATGAGAGCTATAACTGAGAAAGCAGGGGAAAGCTAGGTCTCCCACCATTTGGGTGCTTGTCCTAAAGAGACGTTGTATGTGGTTACCTGTCAATCAAGAAATGCGAGACAATTCATAAAGAGGAACTGCTATGATTAGCTTCTTATTGGTGTCTCCTCTTCTTCCAGGTAACCCCAGACACCTACACGTTCTGATTGGGACCTCAGTGGTCAAACTCCCTTTCACCATCCTCCTCTTCTTTCTCCTTCATCGCTGGTGCTCCGACAAAAAAAGTAAGTCTCACGAAGCAGAGGCCAGAGAGCTCAGGGCCATGTGGGGAAGCAGGATGTTAGCACGTGGGTGTGTGTTCCTCACAGGCAGGATGGTCCCTGGCCCAAGACAGGAGCCACAGAGGCAGGACTTTCTAGAGAGAGCACCAGACTCCCTGCCCCTGCCTTCAGCTCACAGACCATTGCCTGATTCTGAACTGTACCCTCACGTCCCCTGCAGCCACTCACATCCAGGAGAAGGTTCCATGACAGGCAGAAAGTGGGAGATAGAATCAATGGGATGGGAACTCAGAGCTATTCATGGGATGGGTCCTTGAGCTCAGAGAGATAGAATGTCTGAGTCTGCTGTTGGCAACTGAGGGACCTCAGGCACCTATGGCCTCCCCCTGTTTGTTGGTATCTGCTTATGAAATGAGGACCCAGAAGTGCCCTCCGAGCTGTTTTGTTGACTTCCATCTTCTACAGATGCATCTGTAATGGACCAAGGGCCTGCGGGGAACAGAACAGTGAACAGGGAGGTAGGTGCTCCTCGGCCCAGCCTCGTGGCTAGTCTTATTCCCAAAGAGTCCTGAAAAATGTGAGCACCCTCCCTCACTCAGCATTTCCCTCTCTCCAGGATTCTGATGAACAGGACCATCAGGAGGTGTCATACGCATAATTGGATCACTGTGTTTTCACACAGAGAAAAATCACTCCCCCTTCTCAGAGGCCCAAGACACCCCCAACAGATAGCAGCATGTACATAGAACTTCCAAATGCTGAGTCCAGATCCAAAGCTGTCTTCTGTCCACGAGCACCACAGTCAGGCCTTGAGGGGATCTTCTAGGGAGACAACAGCCCTGTCTCAAAACCGGGTTGCCAGCTCCCATGTACCAGCAGCTGGAATCTGAAGGCATCAGTCTTCATCTTAGGGCATCGCTCTTCCTCACACCACGAATCTGAACATGCCTCTCTCTTGCTTACAAATGTCTAAGGTCCCCACTGCCTGCTGCAGAGAAAACACACTCCTTTGCTTAGCCCACAATTCTCCATTTCACTTGACCCCTGCCCACCTCTCCAACCTAACTGGCTTACTTCCTAGTCTACTTGAGGCTGCAATCACACTGAGGAACTCACAATTCCAAACATACAAGAGGCTCCCTCTTAACACGGCACTTAGACACGTGCTGTTCCACCTTCCCTCATGCAGTTCCACCTCCCCTCAGACTATCTTTCAGCCTTCTGTCAGCAGTAAAACTTATAAATTGTTTTTAGTAATTTCAATGTAGTTTTCCCTCCTTCAAATAAACATGTCTGCCCTCATCGTTTCGGTAATGGGACTCTTTTCTTTCCTAAGGCTTCCGGTGTTATCATTACCATGTCCACATAACCCCATCTGTTCTCCACTGGGTTCTCACCCCTGGACTCTGAGCTTCTGGAACAGGGTGGACCCTGACTTGTCTCTGAGACTCCAATTTCCATCCAAAGATGCAGCACATAGGAAGTTCCAAGGATCGTGAATCACATGAACAAGTGATATTCTTACTCTCTGCAGACCTGGAAAGCTGGCAGAGTCATTCCATGATGAAACATTTGTAGAGTCATAGGCCTTGTTAGTCTCATCTCCACGGGGACACATGTCAACGCATCATCTTTCATACTATAAATATACAGTCGCTCCTCCGTATCTGTGGGGTTTACAGGTGTTTATTGAACCAAGTATAAATCAAAAATATTCAGAGAAAAAGCCCACAAAGTTCCAAAAAGCAAAACTGTGTTGAATGCACACAAATGAGGTGGTGTATAGGCTGTATCAGGAATTATAAGTAATCAAGAGATGATTTCATGTATACAGGAGGATGTGCATGGGTTATATCCAAATGCTGTGTCATTTTACGTAAGAGGCTTGAGCATCTGCAGATTTTAGTATCTGAGTGGAGATCTCGAAACCAATCACCCATGAATAGTGAAGGATGACGGTATAGGACTTTTATTTCTCAAATTTAAATATAAATCATAAAAAATGTACAATAACTAGATAAAAACTAAGAAGTGTTTTTATAGTGTGAGAATAAGTTTAGATTTATTATTTCCTATGTGTAACCCTTTGGTTTAATATTATTTATTGAGAAGACATTCTATGCCACCTTAAACCACACGGCAGCTTTGTCAACTAAAAAGGGACTGTGTGTACACGGATGTGTATTTTAGACACTGTCTCTGCTAAACGGCTCTCTGTGTCCACATTCTTGAGGATGCTCCACTTTATGTAGCCCCATAGAACCCTTTAAATTTAGTAGCCAGAGGCCTCTAATTTGTTATTATAGGCTATTTGCTATTTTTATTTTCTTGAGGCGGAGTCTTGCTCTGTCGCCCAGGCTGGACTGCAGTGGTGCAATCTCAGCTCACTGCAACCTCCGCCTCCCAGGTTCAAGCGATTCTCGTGCCTCAGCCTCTTGGGTAGCTGGCGTTACAAGTTCCTGCCACTGGGCACGGCTAATTTTTGGATTTTTAGCAGAGACACGGTTTCACTGTGTTGCCAGGCTGCTCTCAAACTCCTTATATCAGTTGATCCGCCCACCTCGGCTTCCCGACGTGCTGGGGGAAACTTGATTTTCTATAGCATTATGTTACTGGATATTTCTGTAAAATTTAAAATGAGGGAGGCAGAGAGACAGAGAGAGAACAAACTCCAGAGTTGGGACTCTGGAAACTTGGGTCATGAGACAAATTTTAGATAAATCTACAAAAATCCAGAGTTTAAATGTGTGGTTTTTGCTGATAACGTACAATTCAAAGATTGTAAATAATTGCATAATCCTTCCCTGGGAATTTAAATCATTTTAACTGGTTCTGCTGTAATACTAGAAATACAAGCATGAAAAATTCTAATGGTTTATTAGTCACAATGACTCTGAAAACCTTAATAATACCTATTAGATATTTTGCATATTACACATGAAGAAGAGTTTGAATCTCAGATAAAAACAATAAAAATACATGAAAAGTCTTTCACGTTAGCACAGATTTTAGGCATCTCGTGTTCAGGAGGTTGGATCTGAGACGTGTTTTGAGTTGGTCATAGTGAAGGACGCTAGGTGTAAATTCTAGTGAGAACAATTTCCAGGAAGCCGTGTTCCGCTCTTGAGCGAGCACCCACTGGGCCTCATGCAAGGTAGAATGAGCCTGCGTACGTCACCCTCCCATGATGTGGTCAACATGTAAACTGCATGGGCAGGGCGCCAAATAACATCCTGTGCGCTGCTGAGCTGAGCTGGGGCGCGGCCGCCTGTCTGCACCGGCAGCACCATGTCGCTCACGGTCGTCAGCATGGCGTGTGTTGGTGAGTCCTGGAAGGGAATAGAGGAAGGGAGTGTGGGGTTGGAGATCTGGGCCCAGAGGTGGAGATATAGGCCTGGAGGTGGAGTTGTGGGCCTGGAGTGGAGATCTGGGCCTGGAGTGGATATATGGGCCTAGAGATGGAGTGATGGGCCTAGAAGTGGAGATCTGGGCCTGGAGTGCCGATAGGAACCTGGAGGGGAGATAGGAGCCTGGAGTGGAGATATGGGCCTGGAGGTGGAGTTATAGGCCTATAGTAGAGATATGGGCCTGGAGTGGAGATTTGGGCCAGGAGTGGAGATATGGGCCTAGAGGTGGATATCTGGGCCTAGAGTGGAAATATGGGCCTAGGATGGAGATATGGGCCTGGTTGTGGAGATATGGGACTGGAGAGGAGATATGGGCCTAGAGTGGAGATATGGGCTTGGGGTGGAGATCTGGGCCTGGGGTGGAGATATGGGCCTGGAGGTGGAGTTACGGGCCTTCAGTAGAGATATGGGCCTGGGGTGGAGATATGGGCTTGGGGTGGAGATCTGGGCCTGGAGTGGAGATATGGGCCTGGAGGTGGAGTTACTGGCCTTCAGTAGAGATATGGGCCTGGTGTGGAGATATGGGCCTGGATTGGAGATATGGGCCTAGGGTGGAGATCTGAGCCTGGAGTGGAGATATGGGCCTGGATTGGAGATATGGGCTTACAGTGAAGATCTTGGCCTGGATTGGCGATATGGGCCTGGATTGGCGATATGGGCCTATGATGGAAATATCGGCCTGGAGTGGAGATATGGGCCTGGAGTGGAGATACAGGCCTAGGGTGGAAATATTGGCCTGGAGTGGAGATATGGGCTTCTGGTGGGGATATGGGCTTGTGGTGGGGATCTGGGCTTGGAGGCTGGGTCTCTGCACAGCCGACAGCCCTGTTCTTGGGTGCAGGTAGGCACTGAGGGTGAGTTTAACTTCAGCCCAGGAAGGGCCTGCCTACCAAGACTCACAGCCCAGTGAGGGCAGCAAGGGAGGGCTGGTTCGCCTGCAGATGGATGGTCCATCATGATCTTTCTTTCCAGGGTTCTTCTTGCTGCAGGGGGCCTGGCCACATGAGGGTGAGTCCTTCTCCAAACCTTCGGGTGTCATCTCCCCACATAAGAGGATTTTCCTGAAACAGGAGGGAAGTCCTGTCGGGGAGCCTCTCATAAACTAGGAAGAGGGGACCCTGGGGTGCTCGGCCCACAGTTCCGACCTCGCCTCCCTGGCCTTTCATTCCCTTGGCAGAGTCAAGTTCTGTGGGGACCAGGGTTAGACTGGGGTGCTCAAAGCTGGGGTGTGTGGTGGGGAAGTGGTAGGAACAGCAGATCCTCTGAGGACAAAGGTGTTACTCACACTTCAGCGTTTCCATGACGGTAGGGGCTGCAGTGTGGCTGCTGTCACTCCACCAGAAGAGGTGGGAAACCACAGCCATGGCCCTGACATTCCAAATCCTCTGATGGGGGCTCAGTTGCTTATTTTCATTCAGGCATCGGCTGATATTCCATTCTCAAAGGACATGCCCTCCACCCCATGTCTACCCTGTGTTGTTTTATGTGAGTAATCTTACAGTATTAAAATCTAGTAGGAGTCTCTTACTCAGCACTTGCTCAAAGTTCTCAGCTGACACTTTTGTTGTAGGGAGACACCTTGTGTTTGCGGGATGGGTCCTTCCTTTAGCCCTGGGCACCAAGGTGTGATAGCAGCCATAGAAACTTGGAAAGCGAGGAGAATCTTCAGAGCACAGGGAGGGAGGGGTGGCTCCACATCCTCCTCTCTAAGGCGGTGCCTCCTTCTCCCCAAGGTGGTCAGGACAAGCCCTTGCTGTCTGCCTGGCCCAGCTCTGTGGTGCCTCCAGGACATGTGATTCTTCGGTGTCATTCTTATCTTGGGTTTAACAACTTCAGTCTGTAAAAGGAAGATGGGGTGCCTGGCACTGAGCTCTACAACAGAATATTCTGGAAGAGCCTTTTCATGGGCCCTGTGACCCCAGCACACACAGGGACGTACAGATGTCGGGGTTCACACCCACACTCCCCCAGTGGGTGGTCGGCACCCAGCAACCCCCTGGTGATCATGGCCACAGGTCAGAGGGCTCCTGTCTTGGATTCTCCTTTCCCACCTCCTGAATCCCAGAGCTTCTGGTGGGCGTGTCCTTGAGGGTCCCATCACCCAGGCCCTGACTATATTTGGGGTAAAGGGGGATTGAATACAGGGAAATGGGTGCTGTGGTGGGAAGAATAATTGTCCCCAGTGATGACTACATTCTAATCCCTGGAGTCTGTGACTATTTATGTTATAGGGGAAGGAACTGAAGGGGAAGATGGAGCTCAGGTTGTTGATGAGTTGACCTTGAGATGGGGAGACAGCCTGGACTGTCCCGCTGGGCTCAGTGTAATCACAAGGGTCCACATGAAAGGAGGAGGAAGAGGGGAGTGGGGATTAGAGCAGCGCAATGGGAGACTCCACCAGCTTTGAAGGTGGAGGAAGTCCAGGAGCCATGAATGCAGGTGGCCTGTAGAGGCTGGAAAAGTCAAGGAAATGATTCTCCAGAGTCTCCAGAGGGAACGAAGCCCTGCAGATGCCTTGATTTTAGCCCAGGAAAAACAGGGTCCTATTTCTGTCTCCAGTAGTGAAATGGGTCAGTGTGCTCTCTCCTGCTGCCATGCTGCTGATAATTTTCTACAGCAGCAACAGGAAACCAACACTGGAACCCAGGTCAAGGACAAGTTAAGAAACAACACAAGGATAGCCGGGTGTGGTGGCAGGCGCATGTAATCCTAGCGACTTGGGAGGCTGAGGGCAGGAGAATCACTTGAACCCAGGAGACAGAAGTTGCAGTGACCCTAGACCACACCACTTCACTCCAGCTGGGGTGAAGGAGTGAGACTCTGATCTCCATAATTAATTAATTAATTAAAGGAACCAAACAAGGGGAAGGTTGGCTACACCTAGATCAGCAAGTGTGGGATGATGATGCCACCACCAGGCTCCATCCACATAGGGAGGGGTTGATACTCCTCAAACCAGCACCAGGAGCCAGCCTATGGAAGCTGGCACCATGGAGAAGGCACAGGCATGGCAAGAGTGGCTCCCAGTCCCGACCAGGAACAGGGTGTGTGGACACTGCTGCCTGCCTTATTCATCAGTTCATACCTCCTGCCAAGGATTCCAATTCATCCAAAAGAGATTGAACCAGGCTGATAAGAGGCTGGATGTGCAGCCTATCCTGGTTCCTCTTTCACCCCCACATAAACAGCAGGAAAGACATTAGTGTGAAATAGATACAACACCCCAAGAGATGAGGCTAAGCCCAGTGGGAAGGGAATCAGAGGCGACTAGAGACAGAGAGACAGAGAAGAGGGAGGGAGACAGATGGAAGGACCTGCACCAGGAGTTATGGGCACAGAAAAGAACATGAAGACACAGAGAGGAAGGAGAGAGACAGACACCAGCAAGGGGAAGCCTCACTCATTCTAGGTGCCATGGATGGGATGATAAAGAGAGACACCTTCTAAACTCACAACCTCTCTTCCTAGGAGTCCACAGAAAACCTTCCCTCCTGGCCCACCCAGGTCCCCTGGTGAAATCAGAAGAGACAGTCATCCTGCAATGTTGGTCAGATGTCAGGTTTGAGCACTTCCTTCTGCACAGAGAGGGGACATTTAACGACACTTTGCACCTCACTGGAGAGCACCATGATGGGGTCTCCAAGGCCAACTTCTCCATCGGTCCCATGATGGAAGACCTGGCAGGGACCTACAGATGCTACGGTTCTGTTACTCACTCCCCCATCAGTTGTCAGCTCCCAGTGACCCTCTGGACATCGTCATCACAGGTGAGAGTGTCCGGACATTCTTCTCATTGTCATTGGGATGCAGAGTGAATGATCCACGACTTGGAACCCCCAGGTAGTTGTAAGGAAGATGAGCTTGGTATTCTTATGGAGAGAGACTGACTTGGTGAGGTCTGTACCAACAGAGACAGAGAAACAGGAGACACAAGTACAGACCAGGTGTCATAACAGAGGACAGACACAGGGGCCATACCGGGAGTTAGAAAAGACAGAAGGAGTTAAAGGAGACAGACAGACAGACATGTCCCAGAGAGAGGTGTCCCTCCATGCTGACTTTGCTCAGAGACCTGGCACAGGTTAGAAGTTTCATTTCTGTTTTACCTCCACAAAGTGTTCTCTACCAGGAGAACCCAAGGACACCCATATTTCTGACCTGAGTTGGGCCCTGTGGCCTCAGGCCTTGTGGCACCTACAGATGCCGTGTTTATTCTCACACCTCTGCCTTCCATGTAATGGAGAGTAACCGTCCCAGGATATCATGGCCCCAGAACACCAACCCCTGTATGCTGTGTGAACTTGTGGTCTCCAGACTGGATTCTGAGGCTCACATTCCAAATAACCCCACATATGAAAGGATCACTGAGAGGCACAGAGAGAAATCAGGGACACCAAAAAGCAAAGACATAAACACACAGAGAATGAGCCAGAGGAAGGAGATTGAGAGACTCACAGACACATAAAGAGAGAGAAAAGAGGGCAGAGGAGTGGTGAGAATGATGGAAGGGAGCAGAGAAAAGCACTAAAATTAGAGTCCTGAGGGAGAGGCACAAGGACATAGAAAGATGGAGATGTGGGGATGAATTGCAGAGATTCCAAAGAGAACTAGAGAGACCGAGAGGCAGAGCAAGACAGATGATAGATGGTTAGATATAGATAGATGATAAATAGGTAGATGATAGATAATAGGTTAAAGATACATAGATGATGATTGATTGATTCATTAATAGATGAGACATAGAGATGATGATGATGAAGACAGATAGATAATACATAGAGATAGAGAGGCAGACAGAAGTCATAGAGAGAGAGATGATACATAGATATAGATAACAGATGATTGATGGATAGATAGACAAGTGATAGATACATAGATGATATATAGATATAGATGACAGGTAGAGAATTTGTAGATAGGCACCGAATAGATAAATAGATAGATCGACAGATAATAGATAGAAATATGCAGAAAGTTATGAACAGGACACAAAGTGAGAAACTTAGAATTTAAAAAAGTAACATCAAGTGAACCAATCCAAGGAGAGTCAGAGAGAATAAAACAATCCAAAAAGGGAAAACATATCTAGAGGTGTGGAAGCGAGGTCAGAGACCTAGAGAGACAGAGAAGGTGGAAGGAGGAAATAGACATGAAGAGAGATGGGGTGGAGGGTGAGAGAGAGAGAGAGAGAGCATTAGGTCATAGAGCAGGGGAGTGAGTTCTCAGCTCAGGTGAAGGGAGCTGTGACAAGGAAGAGCCTCCGTAAGGAAAATGCCTCTTCTCCTTCCAGGTCTATATGAGAAACCTTCTCTCTCAGCCCAGCCGGGCCCCACGGTTCTGGCAGGAGAGAGCGTGACCTTGTCCTGCAGCTCCCGGAGCTCCTATGACATGTACCATCTATCCACGGAGGGGGAGGCCCATGAACGTAGGTTCTCTGCAGGGCCCAAGGTCAACGGAACATTCCAGGCTGACTTTCCTCTGGGCCCTGCCACCCACGGAGGAACCTACAGATGCTTCGGCTCTTTCCGTGACTCTCCCTACGAGTGGTCAAACTCGAGTGACCCACTGCTTGTTTCTGTCACAGGTGAGGAAAGCCCATGGCTGTCCCATGTCCTATGATCCTAGAGCCTTAGCTGAGGAGCTTCCTGCTGAGGATGGAGAGAAGGATGAACAGATGCAGAGAGAAGACGAAGCTTGGGTGTGAGGGAGGGATCAGGGCACAGGATGGCAGACAGGGCACCTCCAAACCCTCCTACATGGCCTGCATGAAGGCCTGCGGCCAGGACTCCAGGCACCCAGGCAGATGGAGAAAGCGGTCAGGAGAGACCCAGAGGAGGGAGACTGGGCTCAGTTTGGGAAGATCAGAGGTTCCCTCAGCCCCTCAACATTACCCATTTCCCAGAAGCCCATCCTGGCCTCCCACCCACACAGGGATGTCATCACCTGCAACCCCTACACCGTTTACTTTTGTTTGAGAAATATTTATTGAGGATAAATATAACTATATAGCTTACCACCTTTAACATTTTTTTTTTTGAGGCGGAGTCTAGCTCTGTCCCCTATGCTGGAGTGCATTGGCACAATCTCAGCTCACTGCAACTTCCGCCTCCTGGGTTCAAGCGATTCTCTTGCCTCAGCCACCTGAGTAGCTGGTGCTACAGGCGCGCACCACCATGCCAGGCTACTTTTTGTATTTTTAGTAGAGAGGGGGTTTCACCATGTTGGTCAAGCTGGTCTCGAACTCCTGACCACGTGATCCACCCGCATCAGCCTCCCAAAGTGCTGGGATTACAGGCATGAGCCACCACGCCCAGCCACATTTACCATTTTTAAGTGTAAAGTCTAGTGGTCATAAATACATTAATATATATATATATACACATATATTTTTTTTTACCCTCCACCCTTTTCTTCCTGGCCTCTGGTAGCCACCATTCTACTCTCTACCTTCATGAGATCCACCTTTTAGCTCCTGTATATGGGTAAGAAATGGGAATCTTTGTAATGACCTCCAGTTCCATCCATGTGGCTGCAAATATCAGGATGTTATTCTTTCTATGGAAGAGTAGTCTCCACTATGCAAATGTACCACATTCTCTCTATCCATTCACCCACTGATGGGCAGGTAGGTTGACTCCACATCTTGGCTACTGTGAAGAGTGCTGCACCAATCATACGAGTGCAGATATCACTTCGATATATTGATTTACTTTCCTTTGGATATAAACCCAGTAGTGAAATTGCTGGATACTATGAAAGTTCTCTTTTTAGTTTTTCGTTTGTTGTTTTGTTTTTGTTTTTGAGACAGTTTCCCTCTGTGCCAGGCTGGAGTACAAGTGATATGATCTTGGCTCATTGCAACCTCTGCCTCCTGGGTTCAAATGATTTTCCTGCCTCAGCCTCCCTAGTATCAGGGATTATAGGCGCACGCCACCATGCCTGGCTACTTTTTGTTTTTTTTAGTATAGATGCGGTTTCCCCATGTTGGCTGGGCTGCTCTCAAACTCATGACCTCAACTGAGGTGCCCGCCTCGGTCTCCCAAAGTGCCGGGATTACAGGCCTGATCCACCTCACCCAACCTCTTTTTAGTTCTTTAAAGGACTTCCACACTTTTCTCCGTAATGGCTGTACTAATTTACACTCCTCCCAACAGGATACCAGGATTCTCCTTTCTCTAACACCTTGCCAGCATTTCTTTTGCCTGTCTTGCAGCTAAAAGCCATTTTATTTTATTTCATTTTATTTTGAGATGGAGTTTCGCTCTTGTCACCCAGGCTGAGTGCAGTGGTGCGATCTCGGCTCACCGCAACCTCCACCTCCCAGGTTCAAGCGATTCTCCTGCCTCAGCCTCCCGAGTAGCTGGAATTACAGGCACACGCCACCACGCCCGACTAATTTTTGTATTTTTAGTAGAGACAGTGTTTCTCCATGTGGGTCAGACTGGTCTCAAACTCCCGACCTTATGAGATTCACCCACCTCAGGCTCTCAAAGTTCTAGGATGACAGACGTGAGCCACCTCACCCGGCCTAAAAGCCATTTTAATGGGGTGAGATGAAAACTCACTTTGATTTTAATTTGCGTTTCTCTGATGATGAGTGATACTGAGCACTTTTTAGTATGTGGGGAAATTTCATGTCTTTTGCTCCTGTTTCAATTAAATCATTTGTTTTATTGAGTTGTTTGAGCTTCTTATATTTCTAGTTATTAATCCCATCTCAGATGCATAGTTTGCACATATTTGCTCCCAATCTGTGGGTTGTCTCTTCACTTTGTTGGTTTATTTTTAGCAGTGCAGAAGTTGCTTAGTTTGAGGTAATCCCAATGGTCTATTTTTGCTTCGATTACTTGTGTTTTCAAGGTTTAAAACAAAATGTCTTCCCTCAGACAAACGTCCTGGAGCATTTCCCCAATATTTTCTTCTACGTGTTTCATAGGTTCAGGCCTTAGACTCACATCTTTAATCCATTTTCATTTGATTTTTGTGTATAGTGACAGGCAGAGGTGCAGTTTCATTCCTCTGCATGTAGATGTCCAGGTTTCCCTGCACTGTTTATTGAAAAGACTGTCCTTTCCTGATTGTGAGTTCTTGGCACCTTTGTCAAAGTCCATTGGATGGGCTGGGCATGGTGGCTAACACCAGCAACTTCAGCACTTTGGGAGGCCAAGGCTGGTGGATCACCTGAGGACAGGAGTACAAGATTACTCTGGCCGACGTGATGAAACATCGTCTCCACTAAAAATATAAAAATTAGCTGAGCATGGTGGTCAGCACCTGTAATACCACTACTCAGGAGTTTGAGGCCAGAGAAGTGATTGAACCCAGGAGGCTGTGGTGGCAGTGAACCGAGATTGCACCTCTGCACTCCAGCCTGGGTGACAGAGCAAGACTCCATCTCAAAAGAAAAACAAAAAATACATTGGAGGTAAATGCATGGATTATATCTGTGTTATTCATTCTGCTCCGTTGTTCTATGTGCCTTTCTTCATGCCAATGTCATGCTGTCTTGCTTACTACAGCTCTGCAACATATTTTGAGATCAGGTAGTGTGATGCTCCTGTTTTCTCTTTATACCTTGAAGTCTCAAGACAGTAGCCGTCACATACAAAAATTACGGAAAAAAGGATCCCAGGACTCCCAGGGCCCAATATTAGATAACAGAGTGTTGGCCATGAACCAACCTCAAAGATTTCCACTGAGTAGAGGACAGACACCCTCATTTCCTCACCTCTCTCCTGTCTCGTGTTCTAGGAAACCCTTCAAATAGTTGGCCTTCACCCACTGAACCAAGCTCCGAAACCGGTGAGTACAGAACCCTCTTATATCCGCTTTTGGAAACCTGGGGAGGTGGAAACCTTGGATTCAGGCGTTGACTCAGCATCTCACAGCTCTGACATTGTACGCCTGTCTTCTACCA
The DNA here is from genome assembly GCF_000001405.40 of Homo sapiens. Classification (NCBI taxonomy): domain Eukaryota; kingdom Metazoa; phylum Chordata; class Mammalia; order Primates; family Hominidae; genus Homo; species Homo sapiens. Next base: position 107,053 of record NT_187675.1, read on the forward strand.
TCTCCGAACTCCAGATACTCCAACAGCGAAAGGGATCTGGACCCAAAACAGGGCTGAGTGAAATCTCTTAATCTCTCATTTTATGGAGCTGAGATCTCCTACAAGCTAGAAAAATGATTGGCAATCTGACATCCTTCTCAGGAAAAATGCAATGTTTGTTCTGCCTGCATTCCTAACTGGAGGATAAATTCCTGGGGGCTTGAGAGAGGGAAGGGTAGGGAACATTTGATGAGGGCGAGGTGTTTTAGAGAAGTTCCACTTGCCCAGGAATGAATTACTGTTGGTCATGAAGCAACCCTGGCTGACTCAGCAGAGCAAGAGCTTTGCCTTAACAGAGAACGGAGCTCATGCACGCACACTTCGACTCACTGACTCATTCAGCCACGGCCCCATGCTCAGGCCGTGGAAAAGGCAATTCCCAGCACTGCAGGAGGCCAAGGCGGGTGGATCACTTGAAGTCAGGAGTTCCAGACCAGCCTGGCCAAAATGGTGAAACCCTGTCTCTATGAAAAATACAAAAATTAGTCGAGCATGGTGGTGCATCCCTGTAATCCCAGCTCCTACTCTTGAGGATGAAGCAGGAGAATGACTTCAACCCAGGAGGTGGAGGTTGCAGTGAGTGGAGATTGCATCACTGCACTCCAGCCTGGGTGACACAAGGAGACTCCGTCTCAAAAAATAAAAATAAGAAATGCATAAATATAATAAAACACACACGAATGACAAAGGCACCTGAATTCCAATCATCATTTTTGTATTTCTCTATAATTACTTCTTTGATCCTTTGTCTTATCCATTAGGCAATGAGCCTAAAACCTCTTCCGTATTTGGCTTTCTGTGAGCATGAGACCATATAGAAAATGTGAAAGCCCGCTGAATCCTCCAGCACAGATCGTGGAATAGAGAAAGTGCTCTGTTCATCACAAAAAAAACTTGCCGTCTCACTCAAATCCCCCACTTCACCCCTACTTCCAATCACCTGTGGAGATTCAGATAGACCATGGGGAGGTAAACATTAATACTCCTTGGAGTGAGTCCAGATCTTGGAATGAGAGATCAGCACCAGCACTAGCTCCTGCTCCCCTTTCCTACTAATTCACAGGAGGACAGGTGGTATTGAAGCAATAGATGGTGGAGGGGGTGGTCCTTCCCCCAGCCTCTCAGGTAGAACAGCAGCCTAACATGTGTCTCCCGAGATCACAAAGAGTAGGACGTTTCACAGGGGCTTCAACACGATTTCCTGGCTGTTGGACATAAGATAACTCTATTTCGCTTTTTTATCTTGATTTCACTTTTGTTTCCTTTCCTTGGAGAACGCAAGTTGTTTGACTCAAGAATGCTGTGGATGTAGAAATCCTAAAGCACATTCGCTGTGTGTCAATCCCAGTGCAGTCTTCCCAGAAAAGACCCTAAACACCTCCTAGACTGCACCTGGGCCTACGCCAATTCCTATCACTCACCGTCACTCCAGGGAGACAGAACACACAGAGAATACGTTACATAGGCAGGTTCATTACTAACAGATAAGCAGCGAGTGAAAACAGAAGCCTACATTTCAATGTGAGCCAGTCCCTCAAGGCTCAGAAAAGCTGCTCGGGACATATGGAGTCACCCCATTTGCAGTGTAGCTGGGGGAAGCCAGAAAGCAGCCCAGCCTGGGTTTTGTACCCTGGAGCCACAGGAAGCACTCAGCTAAAGCACTGCATGACGTCCTCCTCCAGGAAGAACAGGAAGACAGCCCAGGCTGCTCTGGGACGTTCCTCCTGATCTCAGGACGTTGCTGTCTTAGTCCATTTTTGTTGCTCTAAAGGAACACTTGAGCCTGGGCAACTTCTAAAGAAAAGAGATTGGTTTGTCTCACCGTTCTGCAGGCTGTACTGGAAGCATGGCACCAGCATCTATTTCTCGTGATGGCCTCAGGCTGCTCCCACTCTGGCAGAAGGGAAGGAGGGTCTGTCTGTGCAGAGACCACAGAGATCACACGGCAAGAGAGGGAGCAAGGGGGAGGGGGAGTGATGGAGCTTCCAAGTTCTTTTGAACAACCAGCTCTCCAGGAACTAATAGAGGGGGAACTTGCTAACCCCGTCTCCTTGGGACAGCATTGATCTGTTCATGATGGATCCACCTCCATGACCCAAACACCTCTCAAGAGGCCCAACCTCCCACAATGGGGGTGAAATTTCAATGTGAGGTTTGAAGGGGTCAAACATCTCAACTAAAGTAGTTGTATCCTCAGCACATTCTATGGTTACTTTGAGAGCTATAACTGAGAAAGCAGGAGAAAGCTGGGTCTCCCGCCATCTGGGTGCTTGTCCTAAAGAGGTGTATTACGTGGTTACCTGTCAATCAAGAAATGCGAGACAATTCATAAAAAGGAACTGCTATGATTAGCTTCTTATTGGTGTCTCATCTTCTTCCAGGTAACCCAAGACACCTGCACGTTCTGATTGGGACCTCAGTGGTCATCATCCTCTTCATCCTCCTCCTCTTCTTTCTCCTTCATCGCTGGTGCTCCAACAAGAAAAGTAAGTCTTACGAAGGAGAGGCCAGAGAGCTCCGGGCCATGTGGGGAAGCAGGATGGGAGCACTCAGGTGTGTGTTCCTCACAGGTAGGATGGTCCCTGGCCCAAGGCAGCAGCCACAGAGGCAGGACTTTCTAGAGAGGGCACCAGACTCCCTGTCCCTGCCTTCAGCTCACAGACCGTTGCCTGATTCTGAACTGTATCCTCACGTCCCCTGCAGCCACTCACATCCAGGAGAAGGTTCCATGACAGGCAGAAAGTGGGAGACAGAATCAATGGGATGGGAACTCAGAGCTATTCATGGGATGGGTCCTTGAGCTCAGAGAGATAGAATGTCTGAGTCTGCTGTTGGCAACTGAGGGACCTCAGGCTCCTATGGCCTCCCCCTGTTTGTTGGTATCTGCTTATGAAATGAGGACCCAGAAGTGCCCTCCGAGCTCTTTTGTTGACTTCCGTCTCCTACACATGCTGCTGTAATGGACCAAGAGCCTGCAGGGAACAGAACAGCGAATAGCTAGGTAGGTGCTCCTCGGCCCAGCCTCGTGGCTAGTGTTATTCCCAAACAGTCCTGGAAAATGTGAGCACCCTCCCTCACTCAGGATTTCCCTCTCTCCAGGACTCTGATGAACAAGACCCTCAGGAGGTGACATACGTACAGTTGGATCACTGCGTTTTCACACAGAGAAAAATCACTCGCCCTTCTCAGAGGCCCAAGACACCCCCAACAGATACCAGAGTGTACACGGAACTTCCAAATGCTGAGTCCAGATCCAACGTTGTCTCCTGCCCATGAGCACCACAGTCAGGCCTTGAGGGGATCTTCTAGGGAGACAATAGCCCTGTCTCAAAACCGGGTTGCCAGCTCCCATGTACCAGCAGCTGGAATCTGAAGGCGTGAGTCTGCATCTTAGGGCATCGCTCTTCCTCACACCACAAATCTGAATGTGCCTCTCTCTTGCTTACAAATGTCTAAGGTCCCCACTGCCTGCTGGAGAGAAAACACACTCCTTTGCTTAGCCCACAATTCTCCATTTCACTTGACCCCTGCCCACCTCTCCAACCTTACTGGCTTACTTCCTAGTCTACTTGAGGCTGCAATCACACTGAGGAACTCACAGTTCCAAACATACAAGAGGCTCCCTCTTAACACGGCACTTAGACACGTCCTGTTCCACCTTCCCTCATGCTGTTCCACCTCCCCTCAGAGTATCTTTCAGCCTTCTGTCAGCAGTAAAACTTATATATTTTTTAAAATAATTTCAATGTAGTTTTCCCTCCTTCAAATAAACATGTCTGCCCTCATGGTTTCGGTAATGGGACTCTTTTCTTGCCTAAGACTTCCAGTGTTATCATTACCATGTCCACATAACCCCATCTGTTCTCCACTGGGTTCTCACCCCCGGACTCTGAGTTTCTGGAAGCAGGGTGGAGCCTCATTTGTCTCTGGGACTCCTATTTCCATCCAAAGATGTAGCACATAGGAGGTTCCAAGGATCGTGAATCACATGAACAAGTGATATTCTTACTCTCTGCAGACCTGGAAATCTGGCAGAGTCATTCCAAGATGAAACATTTGTAGAGTCATAGGCCTTGTTAGTCTCATCTACACAGGGACACATATCAACACATCATCTTTCACACTATAAATATACAGTCACTCCTCCATATCTGTGGGGTTTACAGTTCTTTATTGAACCGAGTATAAATCAAAAATATTCAGAGAAAGTATCCACAGAGTTACAAAAAGCAGAACTGTGTTGAATGGACACAAATGAAGCTGTGTGTAGGCTGCATCAGGAATTATAAGTAATCTAGAGATGATTTCATCTATAGAGGAGGATGTGCATAGGTTATTTGCAAACTCTGTGCCATTTCATTTAAGAGGCTTGAGCATCTACAGATTTTGGTATCTGAGTGGAGATCTCGAAACCAATCACCCAGGAATAGTGAAGGATGACCGTATATGACTTTTATTTCTCAAATTTAAATATAAATCATAAAAAATGTACAACTAGATAAAAACTAAGAAGTGTTTTTATAGTGTGAGTTAGATTTATTTTTTCCTAGGTATAACCCATTGGTTTAATATTATTTATTGAGAAGACATTCTATGCCACCTTAAACCACACGGCAGCCTTTGTCAACTCTAAAGGGACTGTGTGTACATGGATGTACTTTAGACACTGTTTCTGCTAAGGGGCTCTCTGTGTCCACACTCTTGATGATGCTGCACTTTATGTAGCCTTATAGAACCCTTTAAATTTAGTAGCCAGAGCTCTCTAATTTGTTATTATAGGCTATTTGCTTTTTTTTCTTGAGGCGGAGTCTTGCTCTGTCGCCCAGGCTGGACTGCAGTGACACAATCTCAGCTCACTGCAACTTCTGCCTCCCAGGTTCAAGCGATTCTCGTGCCTCAGCCTCTTGAGTAGCTGGCGTTACAGGTGCCTGCCACCAGGCACGGCTAATTTTTGGATTTTTAGCAGAGACACGGTTTCACTATATTGGCCAGGCTGCTCTCAAACTCCTTATCTCAGTTGATCCGCCCACCTCGGCTTCCCAACGTGCTGGGGAAACTTGATTTTCTATAGCATTATGTTACTGGATATTTCTGTAAAATTTAAAATGAGGGAGGGAGAGAGACAGACGGAAAACAAACTCCAGAGTTGGGACTCTGGAATCTTGGGTCATGAGACAAATTTTAGATTAAACTACAAAACTCCAGAATTTACAGGTGGGGTTTTTACTGATAAAGTACAATTCTAAGATTGTAAATAATTGCATAATCCTTCCCTGGGAATTTAAATCATTTTAACTGGTTCTGCTGTAATACTAGAAATACAAGCATGAAAAATTCTAATGGTTTGTTAGTCACAATGACTCTGAAAACATTAATAATACCTATTAGATATTTTGCATATTACACAGGAAGAAGAGTTTGAATCTCAGATAAAAACAATAGAAATACATGAAAAGTCTTTCATGTTAGCACAGATTTTAGGCATCTCGTGTTCGGGAGGTTGGATCTCAGACGTGTTTTGAGTTGGTCATAGTGAAGGACACTAGGTGTCAAATTCTAGCGAGAACAATTTCCAGGAAGCCGTGTTCCGCTCTTGAGCGAGCACCCACTGGGCCTCATGCAAGGTAGAAAGAGCCTGCGTACGTCACCCTCCCATGATGTGGTCAACATGTAAACTGCATGGGCAGGGCGCCAAATAACATCCTGTGCGCTGCTGAGCTGAGCTCGGTCGCGGCTGCCTGTCTGCTCCGGCAGCACCATGTCGCTCTTGGTCGTCAGCATGGCGTGTGTTGGTGAGTCCTGGAAAGCAATAGAGGGAGGGAGCGCGGGGATGGAGATCTGGGCCCAGAGGTGGAGATATAGGCCTGGAGGTGGAGTTATGGGCCTGGAGTGGAGATCTGGGCCTGGAGTGGATATATGGGCCTAGAGATGGAGTGATGGGCCTAGAAGTGGAGATCTGGGCCCAGAGGTCGAGATATAGGCCTGGAGGTGGAGTGATGGGACTGTAGTGGAGATCTGGGCCTGGAGTGGAGATAGGAACCTGGAGGGGAGATAGGAACCTGGAGGGGAGATATGGGCCTGGAGGTGGAGATATGGGCCTGGAGTGGAGTCATGGGCCTGGAGGTGGAGTTACGGGCCTGCAGTAGAGATATGGGCCTGAAGTGGAGACATGGGCCTGGAGTGGAGATATGGGCCAGGAGTGGAGATATGGGCCTAGAGGTCGATATCTGGGCCTGGAGTGGAGATATGGGCCAGGAGTGGAGATATGGGCCTAGAGGTCGATATCTGGGCCTGGAGAGGAGATATGTGCCTAGGATGGAGATACGGGCCTGGGTGTGGAGATATGGGACTGGAGAGGATATATGGGCCTGGAGTGGAGATATGGGACTGGAGAGGAGATATGGACCTGGAGTGGAGATAAGGGCCTGGATTGGAGATATGGGCCCAGGGTGGAGATCTGAGCCTGGATTGGAGATATGGGCCTGGATTGGCGATATGGGCTTAGGGTGGAAATATCGGCCTGGAGTGGAGATATGGGCCTGGAGTGGAGATATGGGCTTGAGGTGGGGATATGGACCTGGAGGCTGGGTCTCTGCACAGCCGACAGCCCTGTTCTTGGGTGCAGGTAGGCACTGAGGGTGAGTTTACCTTCAGCCCAGGAAGGGCCTGGCTACCAAGACTCACAGCCCAGTGGGGGCAGCAAGGGTGCCCTGGTTTGCCTGCAGATGGGTCATCCATCATGATCTTTCTTTCCAGGGTTCTTCTTGCTGCAGGGGGCCTGGCCACATGAGGGTGAGTCCTTCTCCAAACCTTCGGGTGTCATCTCCCCACATAAGAGGATTTTCCTGAAATGGGAGGGAAGTCCTGTCAGGGAGTCTCTCATAAACTAGGAAGAAGGGACCCTGGGGTGCTGGGCCCACATTTCTGACCTTGCCTCCCTGGCCTTTCATTCCCTTGGCAGAGTCAAGTTCTGTGGGGACCAGGGTTAGACTACGGTGCTCAAAGCTGGGGTGTGTGGTGGGGAAGTGGTAGGAACAGCAGATCCTCTGAGGACAAAGGTGTTACTCACACACTTCAGCGTTTCCATGACGGTAGGGGCTGCAGTGTGGCTGCTGTCATTCTACCAGAAGAGGTGGGAAAACCACAGCCATGGCCCTGACATTCCAATCCTCTGATGGGGACTCAGTTGTTTATTTTCGTTCAGGCATCAGCTGATATTCCATTCTCAAAGGACATGCCCTCCACCCCATGTCTACCCTGTGTTGTTTTATGTGAGTAATCTTACAGTATTAAAATCTAGTAGGAGTCTCTTACTCAGCACTTGCTCAAAGTTCTCAGCTGACACTTTTGTTGTAGGGAGACACCTTGTGTTTGCGGGATGGGTCCTTCCTTTAGCCCTGGGCACCAAGGTGTGATAGCAGCCATAGAAACTTGGAAAGCGAGGAGAATCTTCAGAGCACAGGGAGGGAGGGGTGGCTCCACATCCTCCTCTCTAAGGCGGTGCCTCCTTCTCCCCAAGGTGGTCAGGACAAGCCCTTGCTGTCTGCCTGGCCAAGCCCTGTGGTGCCTCCAGGACATGTGATTCTTCAGTGTCATTCTTATCTTGGGTTTAACAACTTCAGTCTGTAAAAGGAAGATGGGGTGCCTGTCCCTGAGCTCTACAACATAATATTCTGGAACAGCCTTTTCATGGGCCCTGTGACCCCAGCACACGCAGGGACCTATACATGTCGGGGTTCACAACCACACTACCCCAGTGGGTGGTCGGCACCCAGCAACCCCCTGGAGATCACGGTCACAGGTCAGAGGGCTCCTGTCTGGGATTCTCCTTGTCCCACCTCCTGAATCCCAGAGCTCCTGGTGGGCGTGTCCTTGCGGGTCCCATCATGCAAGTCCTGACTGTATTTGGGGTAAAGGGGGATTGAATACAGGGAAATGGGTGCTGTGGTGGGAAGCACTGTGTTGTCCCCAGTGATGACTACATTCTAATCCCTGGAGTCTGTGACTATTTATGATATAGGGGAAGGGACTGAAGGAGAAGATGGAGCTCAGGTTGTTGATGAGTTGACCTTGAGATGGGGAGAAGGCCTGGACTGTCCTGATGGGCTCAGTGTAGTCACAGGGGTCCACATGAAAGGAGGAGGAAGAGGGGAGTGGGGATTACAGCAGCATAATGGGAGTCTCCATCAGCTTTGAAGGTGGAGGAAGTCCAGGAGCCATGAATGCAGGTGGCCTATAGAGGCTGGAAAAGTCAAGGAACTGATTCTCCTGAGTCTCCAGAGGGAACGAAGCCCTGCAGGTACCTTGATTTTACCCACGACAAACAGGGTCCGATTTCTGTCTCCAGAATTGGAAGGGGTTAGTGTGCTCTCTCCTGCTGCCATGCTTCTGATAATTTTCTACAGCAGCAACAGGAAACCAACACTGGAACCCAGGTCAAGGACAGGTTAAGAAACAACACAAGGATAGCCAGGCATGGTGGCAGGTGCATGTAATCCTAGCGACTTGGGAGGCTGAGGGCAGGAGAATCACTTGAACCCAGGAGACAGAGGTTGCAGTAAGCCTAGACCACACCACTTCACTCCAGCCTGGGCAAAGGAGTGAGACTCTGTCGCCAAAATTAATTAATTAATTAAAGAAACCAAACAAGGAGAAGGTTGGCTACACTGAGATCAGCAAGGCTCGGATGATGATGCCACCACCAGGCTCCATCCACATAGGGAGCGGTTGATACTCCTCCAACCAGCACCAGGAGCCAGGCTATGGAAGCTGGCACTGGCATGGCAAGAGTGTCTCCCAGTCCCTACCAGGAACAGGGTGTGTGGCCACTGGTGCCTGCCTTACTGATCAGTTCATACCTCCTGCCAAGGATTCCAATTCGTCCAAAAGAGATTGAACCAGGCTGCTAAGAGCCTGGATGTGCAGCCTATCCTGGTTCCTCTTCCACCCCCACACAGACAGCAGGAAAGACATTAGTTCGAAATAGATACAACAGCCCAAGAGATGAGGCTGAGCCCAGCGGCAAGGGAATCAGAGGCTACTAGAGACAGAGGGACAGAGAAGAGTGAGGGAGACAGATGGAAGGACCTGCACCAGGAGTTATGGGCACAGAAAAGAACATGAAGACACAGAGAGGAAGGAGAGAGATAAGACACCAGGAAGGGGAAGCCTCACTCAATCCAGGTGCCATGGATGGGATGATAAAGAGAGACACCTTCTAAACTCACAACCTCTCTTCCTAGGAGTCCACAGAAAACCTTCCCTCCTGGCCCACCCAGGTCGCCTGGTGAAATCAGAAGAGACAGTCATCCTGCAATGTTGGTCAGATGTCATGTTTGAACACTTCCTTCTGCACAGAGAGGGGATGTTTAACGACACTTTGCGCCTCATTGGAGAACACCATGATGGGGTCTCCAAGGCCAACTTCTCCATCAGTCGCATGACGCAAGACCTGGCAGGGACCTACAGATGCTACGGTTCTGTTACTCACTCCCCCTATCAGGTGTCAGCTCCCAGTGACCCTCTGGACATCGTGATCATAGGTGAGAGTGTCCAGACTTTCTTCTCATTGTCATTGGGATGCAGAGTGAATGATCCAGGACTTGGAGGCCCAGGTGGCTGTAAGGAAGATGAGCTTGGTATTCTTATGGAGAGAGACTGACTTGGTGAGGTCTGTGCCAACAGAGACAGAGAAACAGGAGACACAAGTAGAGACCAGGTGTCATAACAGAGAACAGACACAGGGGCCATACCGGGAGTTTGAAAAGACAGAAAGAGTTAAAGGAGACACACAGACAGACATGTCCCAGAGAGAGGTGTCCCTCCATGCTGACTTTGCTCAGAGACCTGGCACAGGTTAGAAGTTTCATTTCTGTTTTACCTCCACAAAGTGTTCTCTACCAGGAGAACCCAAGGACACCCATATTTCTGACCTGAGTTGGGCCCTGTGGCCTCAGGCCTTGTGGCACCTACAGATGCCATGTTTATTCTGACACCTCTGCCTTCCATGTAATGGAGAGTAATCGTCCCAGGATATCATGGCCCCACAACACCAACCCCTGTATGCTGTGTGAACTTGTAGTCTCCAGACTGGATTCTGAGGCTCATATTCCAAATAAGCCCACTTATGAGAGGATCAGTGAGAGGCACAGAGAGAAATCAGGGACACCAAAAAGCAAAGACATAAACACACAGAGAATGAGCCAGAGGAAGGAGATTGAGCGACTCACAGACACATAAAGAGAGAGAAAAGAGGGCAGAGAAGTGAGAATGATGGAAGGGAGCAGAGAAAATCACTAAAGTTAGACTCCTGAGGGAGAGGCACAAGGACATTGAAAGATGGAGATGTGGGGATGAATTGCAGAGATTCCAAAGAGAACTAGAGAGACCGAGAGGCAGAGCAAGACAGATGATAGATGGATAGATATAGATAGATGATAAATAGGTAGATGATAGATAATAGGTTATAGATACATAGATGATGATTGATTGATTCATTAATAGATGAGACATAGAGATGATGATGATGAAGACACATAGATAGATAATACATAGAGATACAGAGGCAGACATAGAGAAATCATAGAGAGAGAGAGATGATACATAGATATAGATAATAGATGATTGATGGATAGATAGACAATTGATGGATAAATAGATGATATATAGATATAGATGACAGGTAGAGAATTTGTAGATAGGCACCGAATAGATAAATAGATAGATCGATAGATAATAGATAGAAATATGCAGAAAGTTATGAACAGGACACAAAGTGAGAAACTCAGAATTAAAAAAAGTAACATCAAGTCAACCAATCCAAGGAGAGTCAGAGAGAATAAAACAATCCAAAAAGAGAAAACATATCTAGAGGTGGGGAAGTGAGGTCAGAGACCTAGAGAGACAGAGAAGGTGGAAGGAGGAAATAGACATGAAGAGCGATGGGGTAGAGGGTGAGAGAGAGAGAGAGAGAGCATTAGGTCATAGAACAGGGGAGTGAGTTCTCAGCTCAGGTGAAGGGAGCTGTGACAAGGAAGATCCTCCCTGAGGAAACTGCCTCTTCTCCTTCCAGGTCTATATGAGAAACCTTCTCTCTCAGCCCAGCCGGGCCCCACGGTTCTGGCAGGAGAGAATGTGACCTTGTCCTGCAGCTCCCGGAGCTCCTATGACATGTACCATCTATCCAGGGAAGGGGAGGCCCATGAACGTAGGCTCCCTGCAGGGACCAAGGTCAACGGAACATTCCAGGCCAACTTTCCTCTGGGCCCTGCCACCCATGGAGGGACCTACAGATGCTTCGGCTCTTTCCGTGACTCTCCATACGAGTGGTCAAAGTCAAGTGACCCACTGCTTGTTTCTGTCACAGGTGAGGAAAGCCCATGGCTGTCCCATGTCCTATGATCCTAGAGCCTTAGCTGAGGAGCTTCCTGCTGATGATGGAGAGAAGCATGGACAGATGCAGAGAGAAGACGCAGCCTCGGTGTGAGGGAGGGATCAGGGCACAGGATGGCCGACAGGGCACCTCCAAACCCTCCTACATGGCCTGCATGGAGGCCCACGGCCAGGGCTCCAGGCACCCAGGCAGATGGAGAAAGCGGTCAGGAGAGACCCAGAGGAGGGAGACTGGGCTCAGTTTGGGGAGATCAGAGGTTCCCTCAGCCCCTCAACCTTACCCATTTCCCAGAAGCCCATCCTGGCCTCTCACCCACACAGAGATGTCATCACCAGCAACCCCTACACCCTTTACTTTTCTTTGAAGAAATATTTATTGAGGATAAATATACCTATATAGCTTACCACTTTTAACATTTTTTTTTGAGGTGGAGTCTAGCTGTGTCCCCTATGCTGGAGTGCAGTGGCACAATCTCAGCTCACTGCAACCTCCACCTCCTGGGTTCAAGCGATTCTCCTGCCTCAGCCACCTGAGTAGCTGGTGCTACAGGCACGCACCACCACGCCAGGCTACTTTTTGTATTTTTAGTAGGGAGGTGGTTTCACCATGTTGGTCGAGCTGGTCTCGAACTCCTGACCAAGTGATCCACCCGCATCTGCCTCCCAAAGTGCTGGGATTACAGGCATGGGCCACCGCGCCCAGCCACATTTACCATTTTTAAGTGTAAAGTCTAGTGGTCATAAATACATTTATATACATATATATATATACATTTTTTTTACCCTCCACCCTTTTCTTCCTGTCCTCCAGTAGCCACCATTCTACTCTCTACCTTCATGAGATCCACCTTTTAGCTCCTGTATATGGGTGAGAAATGGGAATCTTTGTAATGACCTCCAGTTCCATCCATGTGGCTGCAAATGACAGGATGTTATTCTTTCTATGGATGAGTAGTCTCCACTATGCGTATGTACTACATTCTCTCTATCCATTTACCCACTGATGGGCAGGTAGGTTGACTCCTCATCTTGGCTACTGTGAACAGTGCTGCACCAATCATACGAGTGCAGATATCACTTCGATATATTGATTTACTTTCCTTTGGATATAAACCCAGTAGTGAAATTGCTGGATACTATGAAAGTTCTCTTTTTTTCTTTTTTTCTTTTTTGAGAAAGAGTTTCCCTCCTTAGCCCAAGCTGGAGTCAAAGTGGTGCGACCTTGGCTCATTGCAACCTACGCCTCCTGGGTTCAAATGATTTTCCTGCCTCAGCCTCCCTAGTAGCTGGGATTACAGGTGCACACCACCATCCCTGGCTACTTTTTGGTTTTTTTAGTATAGATGGGGTTTCCCCATGTTGGCTGGGCTGCTCTCAAACTCATGACCTCAACTGAGGTGCCCGCCTCAGTCTCCCAAAGTGCCGGGATTACAGGCATGATCCACCGCACCCAACCTCTTTTTAGTTCTTTAAAGGACTTCCATACTTTTCTCCGTAATGGCTGTACTAATTTACACTCCTCCCAACAGGGTACCAGGGTTCTCCTTTCTCTACCACCTTGCCAGCATTTCTTTTGCCTGTCTTGCAGCTAAAAGCCATTTTATTTTATTTCATTTTATTTTGAGATGGAGTTTTGCTCTTCTCACCCAGGCTGGAGTGCAGTGGCGCGATCTCGGCTCACCACAACCTCCACCTCCCAGGTTCAAGCGATTCTCCTGCCTCAGCCTCCCGAGTAGCTGGAATTACAGGCACACGCCACCACGCCCGACTAATTTTTGTATTTTTAGTAGAGACAGCGTTTCTCTATGTGGGTCATACTGGTCTCAAACTCCCGACCTTATGAGATTCACCCACCTCAGGCTCTCAAAGTTCTAGGATGACAAACGTGAGCCACCTCACCCGGCCTAAAAGCCATTTTAATGGGGTGAGATGAAAACTCACTTTGAATTTAATTTGCGTTTCTCTGATGATGAGTGATACTGAGCAGTTTTTCGTATGTGGGGAAATTTCATGTCTTTTGCTCCTTTTTCAATTAAATCATTTGTTTTATTGAGTTGTTTGAGCTTCTTATATTTCTAGTTATTAATCCCATCTCAGATGCATAGTTTGCACATATTTGCTCCCAATCTGTGGGTTGTCTCTTCACTTTGTTGGTTTATTTTTAGCGGTGCAGAAGTTGCTTAGTATGAGGTAATCCCAATGGTCTATTTTTGCTTCGATTACTTGTGTTTTCAAGGTTTAAAACAAAATGTCTTTCTTCAGACAAGTGTCCTGGAGCATTTCCCCAATATTTTGTTCTACGTGTTTCATAGGTTCAGGCCTTAGACTCACATCTTTAATCCATTTTCATTTGATTTTTGTGTATGGTGACAGGTAGAGGTGCAGTTTCATTCCTCTGCATGTAGATGTCCAGGTTTCCCTGCACTGTTTATTGAAAAGACTGTCCTTTCCTGATTGTGAGTTCTTGGCATCTTTGTCAAAGTCCATTGGATGGGCTGGGCTTGGTGGCTAACACCTGCAATTTCAGCACTTTGGGAGCCCAAGGTGGGTGGATCACCTGAGGCCAGGAGTTCAAGATTAGTCTGGCCGACGTGATGAAACATCATCTCCACTAAAAATATAAAAATTAGCTGAGCATGGTGGTCAGCACCTGTAATACCACTACTCAGGAGTTTGAGGCAAGAGAATGATTGAACCCAGGAGGCTGAGGTTGCAGTGAACCGAGATTGCACCTTTGCACTCCAGCCTGAGTGACAGAGCAAGACTCCATCTCAAAAGAAAAAATAAAAAACCATTGGATGTAAATGCATGGAATATATCTGTGTTATTCATTCTGCTCCGTTGTTCTATGTGCCTTTCTTTATGCCAATGTCATGCTATTTTGCTTACTACAGCTCTGTAACATATTTTGAGATCAGGTAGTGTGATGCTCCTGTTTTCTCTTTATACCTTGAAGTCTCAAGACAGTGGGTGTCACATAAAAAAATTATGGAAAAAAGGATCCCAGGACTCCCAGGGCCCAATATTAGATAACAGAGTGTTGGCCATGAACCATCCTCAAAGATTTCCACTGAGTGGAGGACAGAAACCCTCATTTCCTCACCTCTCTCCTGTCTCATGTTCTAGGAAACCCTTCAAATAGTTGGCCTTCACCCACTGAACCAAGCTCCGAAACCGGTGAGTACAGAACCCTCTTATATCCGCTTTTGGAAACCTGGGGAGGTGGAAACCTTGGATTCAGGCGTTGACTCAGCATCTCACAGCTCTGACATTGTACACCTGTCTTCCACCATCTCCGAACTCCAGATACTCCTACAGCGAAAGGGATCTGGGCCCAACACAGGGCTCAGTGAAATCTCTTCATCTCTCATTTTATGGAGCTGAGACCTCCTACAAGCTAGAAGAATGATTGCCAATCTGACATCCTTCTCAGGAAAAATGCAATGTTTGTTCTGCCTGCATTCCTAACTGGAGGATAAATTCCTGGAGACTTGAGAGAGGGAAGGGAAGGGAACATCTGATGAGGGCGAGGTGTTTTAGAGAAGTTCCACTTGCCAAGGAATGAGCTCCTGTAGGTCATGAAGCAACCCTGGCTGACTCAGCAGAGCAAGAGCCTTGCCGTAACAGAGAACAGAGCTCATGCACGCACACTTCGACTCACTGACTCATTCAGCCACGGCCCCATGCTCAGGCTGTGCAGTGCGGAACCTTTTCCTATTGTTGCCATAACAAATTTCCACAAGATTCGTGGGTGAAAACAAAACGGTTTTTTAATTATCTTACAGTGCTGTAGCTCAAAGTAGGAAGTGCATCTTACTGGGCTAAAATCAAGGTGACAGCAAGGCTGCCTTCCCTCTGAGGATTCCAGGCACGAATCTGCTTCTCACTTGTCCCAGCTTCTAAAGGCTCCCAGTTCCTTGGCTCCTGGTCCCCTTCCTCCTTCCTCAAAGCCCACAAAGACTGGTCACATCTCACATGGCATCACTCAGTGCCTTCTTCCTTACCACACTTCTTTCTCTGAATGCTGCTCTCCCTTCTTCCTCATCTTTTGAAAACTTGGGGATTCTATTGGGTTCACCAAGATGAAAATCCCTCATAATCTCCTGGAAATCATCCAGGATACCCTTGTTTTAAGTTCAGCTGATTAGTAACCATAATTCCATCTGCAATCTTCATTCCTCCTTTCCATGTAAAATAACATATTCACAAGCTATGGAGGCTAGGACAGGGACATTTTGGGGTGGGACAGCATTCTCCTGCCTTCCACAAACAGTGAACAAGATGCATTTGGCCTCTGCCCTTGGGACACTGATATTGCAGATGGTTAAATGGGAGGGCAGAAAATGAATGCACAAGTGGATCTATAAATGAATGATCCATTGGGAAGCATCTGTGCGTGAAATCTATTTTTTGTTTGTTCTTTTGTTTATTGAGACAGAGTCGCCCTCTGTCTTCCAGGCTACAGTGCAGTGTCACGATCTTGGCTCACTGCAACCTGCGTCTCCTGGATTCAAGTGATTCTCCTGCCTCCGCCTCTCGAGTAGCTGGGATTACAGGCAACTGCCACCGTGCCCGGCTAATTCTTTTTGTATATTTTTTGTAGAGAGGATGTTTCACCACGTTGGCCAAGCTTGTCTGAAACTCCCAACCTCAAGTGATCCGACCGTCTCAGCATGCCAAAGTAATGGGACTACAGGCGTGAGCCACTGTGCCCAGCCAGAATTCAAAATCAATAATAGATAATGCTGAGTGTATGATTTCAGGTGACAAAGAAGGTCTCACTATTCAGATATTTGTGACATTAATGAAAAACACGGATTGAACCCCTGAAAGATTGGCGGAAGGATTTTGCACACACAGCTGTCAGCCGTGAAGGCACAAAGGTGAAAACAATCTGATATGGAAGGAAGAGGCTCTGCCTCAAATGCTGGGAATGATGTGGGGAGAATGACAAGATGACTGTAGAGAGACGGAGAGCACACTGGGTACACAGGAAACTAAGGAGCAACAAGGAGTGTGTGTTTGACACTCACAGCCATTGAATTCACCTCGGGGTAACTAGGAATCCCTACATGATTAATATGACTGACATGAAAATAAGGGAGGCTCAGTTGCATAACTGGAATCTAGGAGACCGTGGAAAAGGCAATTGCCGCCCCACTGGTGAAATGTGGTGCTGATTTAGACACTAAATGAATGAAGTAGATGGATATAAGATATGTTTGTGAGGTAGAATCATTGACTGGAAACGCTTACTGGGTTTGATTTTCCTACTTGTTTAATCCTCGCTTAATTAATTTCTTTCTGAGATTTATTCATCCTACACATAAATCAATACCTGGCAAAGGAGTGACAGATATATGAGGGGTGGTGGAAATGAAGGGACCTATTATAGCATAATATACAAGTCTGTGAACGGTGGCTCACGCCTGTAACCCAGCACTGCAGGAGGCCAAGGCGGGTGGATCACATGAAGTCAGCAGTTCGAGACCAGCCTGGCCAACATGGTGAAACCCTGTCTCTAGGAAAAACACAAAAATTAGCCGAGCATGGTGGTGCATCCCTGTAATCCCAGCTCCTACTCTGGAGGATGAAGCAGGAGAATGACTTCAACCCAGGAGGTGGAGGTTGCAGTGAGTGGAGGTTGCATCACTGCACTCCAGCCTGGGTGGCACAAGGAGACTCCGTCTCAAAAAATAAAAATAAGAAATGCATAAATATAAATATAATATAACACACGCAAATGACAAAGGGACCTGAATTCCAATCATGATTTTTCTATTTCTCTATAATTACTTCTTTGATCCTTTATCTTATCCATTAGGCAATGAGCCTAAAACCTCTTCCCTATTTGGCTTTCTGTGAGCATGAGATCACATAGAAAATGTGAAAGCCCGCTGAATCCTCCAGCACAGATCCTGGAATAGAGAAAGTGCTCTGGTCATCACAAAAAAAACTTGCCCACTCACCCAAATCCCCCACCTCACCCCTACTTCCAATCACCTGTGGAGATTCAGATAGACCATGGGGAGGTAAACATTAACACTCCTTGGAGTGAGTCCAGATCTTGGAATCAGAGATCAGCGACAGCACTAGCTCCTGCTCCCCTTTCCTACTAATTCACAGGAGGACAGGTGGTTTTGAAGCAATAGATGGCCGAGGGGGTGGTCCTTCCCCCAGCCTCTCGGGTAGAACAGCAGCCTAATATGTGTCTCCCGAGATCACAAAGAGCAGCAGGTTTCACACGGGCTTCAACACTATTTCCTGGCCGTTTGACATAAGAGAATTCTATTTCGCTTTTTTTATCTTGATTTCACTTTTGTTTTCTTTCCTTGGAGAATGCAAGTTGTTTGATTCAAGAATGCTGTGGATGTAGAAACCCTAAAGCACATTCGCTGTGAATCAATCCCAGTCCAGTCTTCCCAGAGAAGACTCTAAACACCTCCTGGACTGCACCTGGGCCTATGCCAATTCCTATCACTCACCGTCACTCCAGGGAGACAGAACACACAGAGAATACGTTACATAGGCAGGTTCATTACTAACAGATAAGCAGCGAGTGACAACAGAAACCTATATTTCAATGTGACCCAGTCCCTCAAGGCTCAGAAAAGCTCCTCGGGACATATGGAGTCACCCCATTTGCAGTGTAGCTGCGGGAAGCCAGAAAGCAGCCCAGCCTGGGTTTTGTACCCTGGAGCCACAGGAAGCACTCAGCTAAAGCACTGCATGACGTCCTCCTCCAGGAAGAACAGGAAGACAGCCCAGGCTGTTCTGAGACGTTCCTCCTGATCTCAGGAAGTTGCTGTCTTAGGCCATTTTTGTTGCTCTAAAGGAACACTTGAGCCTCGGTAACTTCTAAAGAAAAGAGATTGGTTTGTCTCACCGTTCTGCAGGCTGTACTGGAAGCATGGCACCAGCATCTATTTCTCGTGACGGCCTCAGGCTGCTCCCACTCTGGCAGAAGGGAAGGAGGGTCTGTCTGTGCAGAGACCACAGAGATCACACGGCAAGAGAGGGAGCAAGGGGGAGGGGGAGTGATGGAGCTTCCAAGCTCTTTTTAACAACCAGCTCTCCGGGAACTAATAGAGGGGGAACTTGCTAACCCCGTCTCCTTGGGACAGCATTGATGTGTTCATGATGGATCCACCTCCATGACCCAAACACCTCTCAAGAGGCCCAACCTCCCACAGTGGGGGTGAAATTTCAATGTGAGGTTTGAAGGGGTCAAACATCTCAACTAAAGTAGTCGTATCCTCAGCACGTTCTATGGTTACTATGAGAGCTATAACTGAAAAAGCAGGAGAAAGCTGGGTCTCCTGCTATCTGGGTGCTTGTCCTAAAGAGGTGTTTTATGTGGTTACCTGTCAATCAAGAAATGCGAGACAATTCATAAAGAGGAACTGCTAAGATTAGCTTCTTATTGGTGTCTCATCTTCTTCCAGGTAACCCCCGACACCTGCACATTCTGATTGGGACCTCAGTGGTCATCATCCTCTTCATCCTCCTCTTCTTTCTCCTTCATTGCTGGTGCTCCAACAAAAAAAGTAAGTCTCACGAAGCAGAGGCCAGAGAGCTCAGGGCCATGTGGGGAAGCAGGATGGGAGCACTCAGGTGTGTGTTCCTCACAAACAGGATGGTCCCTGGCCCAAGGCAGCAGCCACAGAGGCAGGACTTTCTAGAGAGGGCACCAGACTCCCTGTCCCTGCCTTCAACTCACAGACCGTTGCCTGATTCTGAACTGTATCCTCATGTCCACTGCAGCCACTCACATCCAGGAGAAGGTTCCATGACAGGCAGAAAGTGGGAGACAGAATCAATGGGATGGGAACTCAGAGCTATTCATGGGATGGGTCCTTGAGCTCAGAGAGATAGAATGTCTGAGTCTGCTGTTGGCAACTGAGGGACCTCAGCCACCTATGGTCTCCCCCTGTATGTTGGTATCTGCTTATGAAATGAGGACCCAGAAGTGCCCTCCGAGCTGTTTTGTTGACTTCCGTCTTCTACAGATGCTGCGGTAATGGACCAAGAGTCTGCAGGAAACAGAACAGCGAATAGCGAGGTAGGTACTCCTCGGCCCGGGCTCGTGGCTACTGTTATTCCCAAAGAGTCCTGGAAAATGTGAGCACCCTCCCTCACTCAGCATTTCCCTCTCTCCAGGACTCTGATGAACAAGACCCTCAGGAGGTGACATACACACAGTTGAATCACTGCGTTTTCACACAGAGAAAAATCACTCGCCCTTCTCAGAGGCCCAAGACACCCCCAACAGATATCATCGTGTACACGGAACTTCCAAATGCTGAGTCCAGATCCAAAGTTGTCTCCTGCCCATGAGCACCACAGTCAGGCCTTGAGGGCGTCTTCTAGGGAGACAACAGCCCTGTCTCAAAACCGGGTTGCCAGCTCCCATGTACCAGCAGCTGGAATCTGAAGGCATGAGTCTGCATCTTAGGGCATCGCTCTTCCTCACACCACAAATCTGAATGTGCCTCTCACTTGCTTACAAATGTCTAAGGTCCCCACTGCCTGCTGGAGAAAAAACACACTCCTTTGCTTAGCCCACAGTTCTCCATTTCACTTGACCCCTGCCCACCTCTCCAACCTAACTGGCTTACTTCCTAGTCTACTTGAGGCTGCAATCACACTGAGGAACTCACAATTCCAAACATACAAGAGGCTCCCTCTTAACGCAGCACTTAGACACGTGTTGTTCCACCTTCCCTCATGCTGTTCCACCTCCCCTCAGACTAGCTTTCAGTCTTCTGTCAGCAGTAAAACTTATATATTTTTTAAAATAACTTCAATGTAGTTTTCCATCCTTCAAATAAACATGTCTGCCCCCATGGTTTCGGTAATGGGACTCTTTTCTTGCCTAAGGCTTCCGGTGTTATCAGTACCATGTCCATATAATCCCATCTGTTCCCCACTGAGTTCTCATCCCCGGACTCTGAGTTTCTGGAAGCAGGGTGGAGCCTCATTTGTCTCTGGGACTCCAATTTCCATCCAAAGATGTAGCACATAGGAGGTTCCAAGGATCACGAATCATATGAACAAGTGATACTCTTACTCTCTGCAGACCTGGAAAGCTGGCAGAGTCATTCCACAATGAAACATTTGTAGAATCATAGGCCTTGTTAGTCTCATCTCCATGGGGACACATATCAACACATCATCTTTCATAATATAAATATACGGTCACTCCTCCATATCTGCGGGGTTTACAGGTGTTTATTGAACCAAGTATAAATCAAAAATATTGAGAGAAAGTATCCACAGAGTTTCAAAAAGCATAACTATGTTGAATGGACACAAATGAAGCTGTGTGTAGGCTGTATCAGGAATTATAAGTAATCTAGAGATGATTTCATGTATACAGGAGGATGTGCATAGGTTATTTGCAAACGCTGTGCCATTTCATATAAGAGGCTTGAGCATCTACAGATTTTGGTATCTGAGTGGAGATCTCAAAACCAATCACCCACGAATAGTGAAGGATGACCGTATATGACTTTTATTTCTCAAATTTAAATATAAATCATAAAAAATGTACAACTAGATAAAAACTAAGAAGTGTTTTTATAGTGTGAGTTAGATTTATTTTTTCCTAGGTGTAACCAATTGGTTTAATATTATTTATTGAGAAGACATTCTATGCCACCTTAAACCACACGGCAGCCTTTGTCAACTCTAAAGGGACTGTGTGTACATGGATGTATTTTAGACACTGTTTCTGCTAAGGGGCTCTCTGTGTCCACACTCTTGATGATGCTGCACTTTATGTAGCCTTATAGAACCCTTTAAATTTAGTAGCCAGAGCCCTCTAATTTGTTATTATAGGCTGTTTGCTTTTTTTTTCTTGAGGCGGAGTCTTGCTCTGTCGCCCAGGCTGGACTGCAGTGACACAATCTCAGCTCACTGCAACCTCCGCCTCCCAGGTTCAAGCGATTCTCGTGCCTCAGCCTCTTGAGTAGCTGGCGTTACAGGTGCCTGCCACCAGGCACGGCTAATTTTTGGATTTTTAACAGAGACACGGTTTCACTATATTGGCCAGGCTGCTCTCAAACTCCTTATCTCAGTTGATCTGCCCACCTCGGCTTCCCAACGTGCTGGGGAAAACTTGATTTTCTATAGCATTATGTTACTGGATATTTCTGTAAAATTTAAAACGAGGGAGGGAGAGAGACAGACAGAGAGCAAACTCCAGAGTTGGGACTCTGGAATCTTGGGTCATGAGACAAATTTTAGATTAAACTACAAAACTCCAGAATTTACAGGTGTGGTTTTTGCTGATAAAGTACAATTCGAAGATTGTAAATAATTGCATAATCCTTCCCTGGGAATTTAAATCATTTTAGCTGGTTCTGCTGTAATACTAGAAATACAAGCATGAAAAATTCTAATGGTTTATTAGTCACAATGACTCCGAAAACATTAATAATACCTATTAGATACTTTGCATATTACACAGGAAGAAGAGTTTGAATCTCAGATAAAAACAAAAAAAATACATGAAAAGTCTTTCATGTTAGCACAGATTTTAGGCATCTCGTGTTCGGATAAAAATACATGAAAAGTCTTTCACGTTAGCACAGATTTTAGGCATCTTGTGTTCGGGAGGTTGGATCTGAGACGTGTTGTGAGTTGGTCATAGTGAAGGACGTGAGGTGCCAATTCTAGTGAGAACAATTTCCAGGAAGCCGTGTTCCGCTCTTGAGCAAGCATCCACTGGGCCTCATGCAAGGTAGAAAGAGCCTGCGTACGTCACCCTCCCATGATGTAGTCAACATGTAAGCTGCATGGGCAGGGCGCCAAATAACATCCTGTGCGCTGCTGAGCTGAGCTGGGGCGCGGCCGCCTGTCTGCACCGGCAGCACCATGTCGCTCATGGTCGTCAGCATGGCGTGTGTTGGTGAGTCCTGGAAAGGAATAGAGGGAGGGAGTGCCACATCCTCCTCTCTAAGGTGGCGCCTCCTTCTCCCCCAGGTGGTCAGGACAAGCCCTTCCTCTCTGCCTGGCCCAGCCCCGTGGTGTCTGAAGGAGAACATGTGGCTCTTCAGTGTCGCTCTCGTCTTGGGTTTAACGAATTCAGTCTGTCCAAAGAAGACGGGATGCCTGTCCCTGAGCTCTACAACAGAGTATTCCGAAACACCGTTTTCATAGGCCCTGTGACCCCAGCACATGCAGGGACCTACAGATGTCGGGGTTCACACCCACACTTCCTCACTGGGTGGTCAGCACCCAGCAACCCCCTGGTGATCATGGTCACAGGTCAGAGGGCTCCTGTCTGGGATTCTCCTTGTCCCACCTCCTGAGTCCCAGAGCTTCTGGTGGGAGTGTCCACCAGCGTCCCATCATCCAGACCCTAACTGTATTTGGGATAAAAGGGGATTGAATACAGGGAAATGGGTGCTGTGGTGGAAAGAATAATTGTCCCCAATGATGACTGCATTCTAATCCCTGCAGTCTGTGACTATTTATGTTATAGGGGAAGGCACTGAAGGGGAAGATGGAGCTCAGGTTGTTGAGTTGACCTTGAGATGGGGAGACAGCCTGGACTGTCCTGCTGGGCTCAGTGTAATCACAAGGGTGCACATGAGAGGAGAAGGAAGAGGGGAGTGGCGATTAGAGCAGTGCAATGGAAGTCTCCATCAGCTTTGAAGGTGGAGGAAGGCCATGAGCCATGAATGCAGGTGGCCTATAGAGGCTGGAAAAGTCAAGGAACTGATTCTCCTGGGTCTCCAGAGGGAACGCAGCCCTGCAGATGCCTTGATTTTAGCCCTCAAAAAACAGGGTCCGATTTCTGTCTCCAGAAACGGAAGGGGTCAGTGTGCTCTCTCCTGCTGCCATGCTTCTGATAATTTTCTACAGCACCAACAGGAAACCAACACTGGAACCCAGGTCAAGGACAAGATAAGAAAGGACACAAGGATAGCCGGGCGTGGTGGCAGGTGCATGTAATCCTAGCAACTCAGGAGGTTGAGGGCAGGAGAATCACTTGAACCCAGGAGACAGAGGTTGCAGTGAGCCTAGACCACACCACTTCACTCCAGCCTGGGTGAAGGAGTGAGACTCTGACTCCAAAATTAATTAATTAATTAAAGAAACCAAACAAAGAGAAGGTTGGCTACACCGAGATCAGCAAGGGTGGGATGATGATGCCACCACCAGGCTCCATCCACATAGGGAGGGGTTGATACTCCTCAAACCAGCACCAGAAGCCAGCCTATGGAAGCTGGCACCATGGAGAAGGCACAGGCATGGCAAGAGTGGCTCCCAGTCCCCACCAGGAACAGGGTGTGTGGACACTGGTGCCTGCCTTACTGATCAGTTCATACCTTCTGCCAAGGATTCCAATTCGTCCAAAAGAGATTGAACCAGTCTGCTAAGAGCCTGGACGTGCAGCCTATCCTGGTTCCTCTTCCACCCCCACATAGAAGCAGGAAAGACATTAGTTCGAAATAGATACAACAGCCCAAGAGATGAGGCTGAGCCCAGCGTCAAGGGAATCAGGAGCTACTAGAGACAGAGGGACAGAGAAGAGGGAGGGAGACAGATGGAAGGACCTGTACCAGGAGTTATGGGCACAGAAAAGAACATGAAGACACAGAGAGGAAGGAGAGAGATAAGACACCAGCGAGGGGAAGCCTCACTCATTCTAGGTGCCATGGATGGGATGATAAAGAGAGATGCCTTCTAAAGTCACAACTTCTCTTCCTAGGAGTCCACAGAAAACCTTCCCTCCTGGCCCACCCAGGTCCCCTGGTGAAATCAGAAGAGACAGTCATCCTGCAATGTTGGTCAGATGTCATGTTTGAGCACTTCCTTCTGCACAGAGAGGGGAAGTTTAATGACACTTTGCGCCTCACTGGAGAGCTCCATGATGGGGTCTCCAAGGCCAACTTCTCCATCGGTCGCATGACGCAAGACCTTGCAGGGACCTACAGATGCTACGGTTCTGTTCCTCATTCCCCCTATCAGTTGTCAGCTCCCAGTGACCCTCTGGACATCGTGATTACAGGTGAGAGTGTCTGGACATTATTCTCATTGTCACTGGGACACAGAGTGAATGATCCACGACTTGGAGGCCCAGGTGGTTATAAGGAAGATGAGCTTGGTATTCTTATGGAGAGAGACTAACTTGGTGAGGTCTGTACCAACAGAGACAGAGAAACAGGAGACACAAGTACAGACCAGGTGTCATAACAGAGGACAGACACAGGGGCCATACAGGGAGTTAGAAAAGACAGAAAGAGTTAAAGGAGACACAGACAGACATGTGCCAGAGAGAGGTGTCCTTCCATGCTGACTTTGCTCAGAGACCTGGCACAGGTTAGAAGTTTCATTTCTGTTTTACTTCCACAAAGTGTTCTCTACCAGAAGAACCCAAGGACACCCATATTTCTGGCCTGAGTTGGGCCCTGTGGCCTCAGGCCTTCTGGCACCTACAGATGCCGTGTTTATTCTGACACCTCTGCCTTCCATGCAATGGAGAGTAATCGTCCCAGGATATCATGGCCCCAGAACATCAACCCCTGTATACTGTGTGAACTTGCGGTCCCCAGACTGGATTCTGAGGCTCACATTCCAAATAACCCCACATATGAGAGGATCACTGAGAGACACAGAGAGAAATCAGGGACACCAAAAAGCAAAGACATAAACACACAGAGAATGAGCCAGAGGAAGGAGATTGAGAGACTCACAGACACATAAAGAGGGAGAAAAGAGGGCAGAGAAGTGGAGAGAACAATGGAAGGGAACAGAGAAAAGCACTAAAATTAGAGTCCTGAGGGAGAGACACAAGGACATAGAAAGATGGAGATGTGGGGATGAATTGCAGAGATTCCAAAGAGAACTAGAGAGACCGAGAGGCAGAGCAAGACAGATGATAGATGGATAGATATAGATAGATGATAAATAGGTAGATGATAGATAATAGGTTATAGATACATAGATGATGATTGATTCATTCATTGATTAATCGATGATACATAGAGATGATGAAGATGAAGATAGATAATACATAGAGATAGAGAGGCAGACAAAGAGAAATCATAGAGAGAGAGAGACGATACATAGATATAGATAATAGATGATTTTTGGATAGACAATTGATAGATAAATAGATTATATATAGATATAGATGACAGGTAGAGAATTTGTAGATAGGCACCAAATAGATAAATAGATATATCAATAGATAATAGATAGAAATATGCAGAAAGTTATGAACAGGACACAAAGTGAGAAACTCAGAATTTAAAAAAAGTAACATCAAGTCAACTAGTCCAAGGAGAGTCAGAGAGAATAAAACAATCCAAAAAGGGAAAACATATCTAGAGGTGAGAAAGTGAGGTCAGAGACCTAGAGAGACAGAGAAGGTGGAAAGAGGAAATAGACATAAAGAGAGATGGTGTGGAGGGTGAGACAGAGAGAGAGAGCATTAGGCCATAGAGCAGGGGAGTGAGTTCTCAGCTCAGGTGGGAGGGGAGTTGTGACAAGGAAGAACCTCCCTGAGGAAACTGCCTCTTCTCCTTCCAGGTCTATGTGGGAAACCTTCTCTCTCAGCCCAGCCGCGCCCCATGGTTAAGGCAGGAGAGAGCGTGACCTTGTCCTGCAGCTCCCGGAGCTCCTATGACATCTACCATCTATCAAGGGAGGGGGAGGCTCATGAACTTAGGTTCCCTGCAGTGCCCAAGGTCAATGGAACCTTCCAGGCCAACTTTCCTCTGGGCCCTGCCACCCACGGAGGGACCTACAGATGCTTCGGCTCTTTCCGTGACTCTCCCTACGAGTGGTCAGACCTTAGTGACCCACTGCTTGTTTCTGTCACAGGTGAGGAAACCAGTCTGTTCCCCAAATAGTGGGACTCAGATGGACTACAATGGCCACATTCAGGGGAGCCTCAGATGGAGGGGGTGGCCATGGGGGTGTCAGCCAGAGATGCTGGACAGAAGAGACACAAAGCAAACATACAGAAAGAGGCATAGACAGACAGACAGAGCGAGGCAGACAGATCACATTAGGGTTTGGGGTGGTAACTGCAACCCTACCTGAAGCTTGCAGATAGAGCACAGGCCACATAAACCACTTCCCAGTCTTTGTACAGAAGCCCACCTGGGACACATGTAAACAGCATCAATGCTGACTCAGGAGCATGAAAGGCCGGGCTCAGATTGGAAAGACTAGAGGTAGCATTGGCCGCCCGCCATTGCCCATTTCCAGAAGCCCCCACCTCTCACCAAAGAGTGATTTCCACATGGGGGGCACAGATGCAACCATCGTTGGGGGAGCCCCAATGTCTCTTGATGGGAGGCATTTTCCACCCTAGATGTTTTTTGCTCTCTCCACACCTTGGAGACTCAGTGGGGGAGTCTTCTCTGGGGACTCGGGGAGGGCCTCCCTGGGACTCGCAGGATTTCCAAGCTAGATGACAACATGACAGGTGGAAACAGGCCCATTCCTTCGCCAGGGGCCCCAAGCTCCATCCCAGGAGATGAGAAGAGGCTCTTCTCATTGGTCAGTGGATCCCTGAGGGGACAGAGGCTCAGCACTGAAGGCTGAGAAGGATCTGCCACTTCGCTCAGTGGCCTCAAGCCAGACATCTTCCCTACAGACTTGCAGTGATTCTCCATCAGCATTTAGGGCTGTGGCCACCAACCTGGGTGTTGGTCTGTAGGAACTTTTCATTTCTGACCTTCCATAACTGAGTTCTCTTCCTAAATGTGGAATGCCTTGTACT
Organism: Homo sapiens; assembly: GCF_000001405.40. Taxonomy (NCBI): domain Eukaryota; kingdom Metazoa; phylum Chordata; class Mammalia; order Primates; family Hominidae; genus Homo; species Homo sapiens. The sequence continues at coordinate 134,228 of NT_187675.1, forward strand.
CCATGTTACTCTCTCCCCAGAAAGAATGTGTGGCTTGTCTGCTCTCCAGCCCTGTCATGGAGATTGATAATCCTTAGGGAGCAAGAGGAGAGGGAAAGAACAAAGTATGAGACCACCTAGGTGCTACTGGTTGAGGTTCCATTTGCCAGTGAAGGGACTTCACTCAGCCGAGGGGGCAACTCAGGGAAGTCAGCCGAGGGAGGGCATTAGAGTAGAGAGAACTGAGCTCACCCAGTAAATGACCCCTTCACTAACTCATTCATCTAATATTTATTTCACACCTACCATCAGTTCTCTCTGTTTCATGGCCAGGAGTAGACAGCACGGCCAAGCTCCTGGGTTCATGATGCTCACATTGCTGTGGGGTGGGAGAGAGAGGCAGAACATGAATGAATGAATGAGAGAATGAATGAATGAGTGAATGATGGAATGAGTGAATGAATGAATGAATGAATGTATGAATTAGTGAGTGAATCCTTAGCACTTGGTGAAAGTGCCATGCACAGAATGAAATGAATGAACGTGGAACGTTGTCATTTGGAGTGTACAGGAGGGAACGTCTCACTGAGACCTCATCAGAGAGATCACATTTAAACTCCGATCTTAGAGACAAGAGGGAGTGAGCCCTGGGGAGTGTGTTGAAAGGAACTTTCATGGACTTAGGACATTGGGGATGACCCTAATGTGAGAATGAGCTTGGTGTGTTCCAAGAAGTCCATGGACCTGCCATATGGTGAGGGCTGGTCAGAATCCAGAGAGATTTCTAAATGCCCTTGTGCTTGTAAGGAAAGTGAGTCCTGTGGTTGGGAGTGGACTTATACCTTGGGTCAGGTCCAGCAATTATCTTTCTAAATCCTCTCTAATTGCCTGAACCACTTCTATCAACAACTGAGAAAAGAGGAGTGTTAAACACCCCACTGTGGCCGTGGATTTGCCTACCTGTCCATTTATTTCCGCGACTCTTCCTCCATGTATATTTGCAGGAATATTACTGGGAGTGGTTAAGTGTAAACTGATTATATATTCCTGGTAAATTTAAAATGCTATAAATTTACCTGCTTTTTTCCTACATTTTATGCTTAATGTTTTCCGCTGATTTTTCCCAAAGACTAATTTTGTCTAATTTTAATATAGTTATACCACATTTCTAACAGTGATTGCTTGGTATATTTCTACATTGTTTAATTTCAAACTCCATGAATTGTTAACATTGAGATGTGTCCTTTGTAAATTTCAAACAATTCGCCTTAGAAAGTAAGACTTTCTGACAATCTTTTGTTCATGTTTGAGCAGTTCTTCCAATCATATTTTTGTTATTATTACGTTGTGTTTTCCTGATTCCCTTTTTTTCCCACTGACTTCTGTGGTTTTCTATTTCAAACATTCTATTTTTGATCTATGTCGTTTAGGAATACATATATGGTGTACTCATCCTGAAGTTGTTACATATTTTTAAAATTGAAATTAATCATTTCAGAGATTAAACTGCAAATATAAAAACATATTTCCACTCTTCCTGTGTAAGAACAGGATTTTAGAGCATATTTAGTACATATGTTTGTATTTACTTATATGATGTTTTGTTTTGTGGTATACATAATTCTATCTTTTTCAGAAATTACACAGGGGCATGTTTTCATACACTATCGTATGGTCCATATTCATTTTTGGCATAGCCATATTTTTAGTTCTTCCTCTGCTCTTAGTTATTGTCAGAATCTTCGACACCCCATCTGGTTTCACTTTCTTTATCTTTGAGGCACGGTCATCAGAATTTCCTTTAGGGTCAGTGAGAAAAGCTTTCTTTGCCCTTTTGTCTTTCAGTTCTGTTTCTTTCCTGCGTTGATCTTGGACAGTAACTGTACTATGTAAGGAATTGTCGGTGGCTGGCGACGGTATCTTAGCTGGGTAAAGATGCTATTCTACTGGCTTATGTTTTCCTTTTTTCTGTGGGGAAGACAATGCTTGGCTCCCTATAAATCCTTACCAGCTGATCCTTTTCCTCTGGCTAATTTTAAGGGTTGGTTGTGCTTTTATGCTGCTTTTCTGTAATGTTGAACGTGAGGTGTGTTTACTTCATTCTGCCTGGCATTCACTGGATTTCTTGAACCTGTGGATTGATGGATGTGTCTACTTCCTCCAAATAATCAACAATTGCCTCTTTAAAGATTGCTTCTGACCTGTTTTCTCGTTCTTTCTTTTTGGAACTCAAGTTAGGAGCATTCTAAAACTGTTGTCAATTTTTACCCTGTCACAAAACTGCTCTTTCTTGTTTCAGTTATTTGCTTTTTCTGTGCATTAATATTGATGGTTTCCTCTGTCATAGAGGATAAATACTCTCTTCACTGTTGTGTACACAACATTTTAACTAGTTATTCTGGTTTAAATTTAATATTGACTTTATCTACATATCACAATTGATTACTGTGTACAGACTTTCTTTTCTATTAGTATAAATTTATGAGGTACACTTGTAATTTTGTGACATGAGTATGTTGCAGAGTAGTGAAGTCAGGACTTTTACTATATCCATCACCCAAATACCGTACATTGTACTCATTAAGCAAATTCTCATCACTCACCCACGTCCCGCCACCCTCCAGCCTTCTAGCCTCCGCTGTCCGTCATTCCACACTCTACGTCCATATGTACACATTACTCCCCTCCCATGTAGAGTGAGAAGATGTGGTATTTGTCTTTCTGAGTGGTTTTATGTAAAATAATGGCGTCCAGCTCCATCTATGTTGCTGCAAAAGACATGGTTTTATTTTTATGACCAAATAGTATTTCGTTGTGTATACACGCATCCTTTTTTTAATCCAATCATTCATTCACAGACACTTAGATTGATTTCATATCTTTGCTATTGCAAACAGTGCTGCAATAAACATACAGGTGCAGATATTTTTTGAGTAGATACCCAGCAGCGGGACCCCTAGATCGAATGGTGCTTCTATTTTTGGTTCTCTGCCAAATTTCCATACTGTCTTCCATAGAGGCTATACTAATTTACATACCGGCCAACAGTGTATAAGAGTTTCCTTTTCTCTGCATCCTTGCCAACACCTGTTATATGTTTCACTTTTTCTTTTTTTCTTTTTGAGATGGAGTCTTCCACTGTCACCCAGGCTGGAGTGCAGTGCCGCCATCTCCACGCGCTGCAACCTCCACCAACCAGGTTCAAATGATTCTCCTGCCTCAACCTCCTGAGTAGCTGGGATTACAGAACCACACCACCATGCCCAGCTAATCTTTTGTATATTTAGTAGAGATGGGGTTTCACTATGTTGGTCAGGCTGGTCTCAAACTCCTGACCTCATGATCCACCCGCCTCAGCTTCCCAAAGTGCTGGGATTACAAGCGTGAGCCACCACTCCCCACCAGCATTTTTAGTAATAGCCATTCTGACTACTGTAAGATGATATCTCATTGTGGTTTCAATTTGCATTTCTCTGATGATTAGTGATGTTCATACGCTGTTTGGCCATTCGTATGTCTTCTTTTGAAAAATGTCTATGTATATCCCTTTGCCCACTTTTTAATGCTATTATTTGAGGGGTTATGTTTAGTTGTTTGAGTTGCCTAGAAATTCTGGATGTTAGTCCCCTGTTGGGTGCATAGTTTGCAAACATTTCCATTCATTCTGTGGGTTGTCTGTTCACCCTGCTACTATTTCCTTTGCTTGGCAGAAGCTCTTTCGTTTATTAAGTCCCATTGGTCTAGTTTTATTTTTATTGCCTGTGCTTTTGAGGTCTTAGTGATGAATTCTTTGCCCAGACCAATGCCCAGAAGAGTTTCTCTTTGGGTTTCCACCGGTGATTTTATAGTTCTGGATTTACATTTAAGCTGCTAATTACCTTAAGTTAATTTATGTGTATGATTACAGATACAGGTCCAGTTTTATTCTTCTGCATATGGCTATTTAGTTTTCCCAGCACCTTTTATTGAAAAGGAAATCTTTCTCCAGGGTATGTTTTGTTAACGTCGTCAATGATTATTCACTGTAGATATGAGGCTGTATTTCTGGGCTCTCTATTCTGGTCTATTGATCTCTGTTTCTGTGTCTATACCAGCACTGTGCTATTTAAGTTACTATAGCCTTAGAGCATAGTTTGAAGTCAGATAGCGTGATGCCTCCAGGTTTCTACATTCACCTAGAATTGCTTTCTCTATTAGGATCTTTTTTGGTTCTGTATGAATTTTAGGATTGCTTTTTCTAATTCTGTGAAAACTGGTGTTACTATTTTCATATAAGAATTGCACTGAATCTGTAGATTGCTTTAGGCAGTATGGTCATTTTAACAATATTAATTCTTATGATCCATGAGCGTGGGATTTTTTTTCTTTTTTTTTTTTGTATTATCTATAATTGCTTTCATTGGTGTCTTACACCTTTCCTGGTACAGATCTTTCACCACCTTGGTTAAATGTATTCCTGAGTGTTTTAATTTTGCGTATCTATTGTAAACGGCATTGCCTTCTTGATTTGGTTCTCAGCTAGATCATTATAGGTGTAGAGAAATGCTACCGGCTTTTACATATTGATTTTGTATTCTGAAACTTTACTTAGTTCATTTATCAATCATAAGAATTTTTGGCAGGGTCTTTAGGATTTTCTAGATTTAAGATCATAGCATCAGAAATAAAAATAATTTTACTTCCTCTTTTCTAATTTGGATTTTTACTTCTTCCTGTTGCCCAATAGCTCTGACAAGGCTTCCAGTACTATGTTGATAGGAAGTGGTGGATGTCCGTGTCCTTGTCTTGTGCCAGTTCTCAGAGGAGTGCTTTTAACTTTTCCTGTTCAGTATGATGTTGACTCTAGATATGTCATCTATGGCTTTTATTATTTTGAGGTATGTTCTTTCTATGCCTAAGTTTTTGAGGGTTTTCATCAGGTAAGGATGTTGAATTTCTTTTCAGATGCTTTTCTTTATGTCTATTGAGATGATCATATGGTTTTTGTTCTGGATTCTGCTCGTTCTTCTAAGTGGATGAGACATGCCAGAAAAGCATTTAGTCAGCCATCTTGGAAACAAGCATCTCAGATGTTTTCTTTCTCTATAGCTCATTCTTTCTTACCAGTGTTTTCAATTTTGTACTTAATTTTGTAAAGAGAGTAAATGATATAATTTCCACATATGTTTCCTCTGCCAAATCAGACTCACTATGCTTCCTTTCCTTGTATGCATAACCTACCCAGCAATACACACAAACATTTATTGCTTTGGAGAATTAGTTTGGGAACATTTTTGAAATGTACAAAAAAATGTATATCTTCAAAAGAAATTTCTTTTTGTGGCAAAAGACTTCTGAAGGTGCTCATGATGATATAGGGAGAAGAGGGGTTCTGGACAGGAAGAATTTTATGAAGGTGAGATGGGGAAATAGCTCCATTTCAGAGCTTCTGGGGAGAGAGGGGCCTGGCCCACATGGAAAGGTCTCTGATCTTACCCCCACCCTCCAGCCCCTGTTCTCCAGAACTATACTGTGGAGAGTTCCATCAGGATTGTTGTGGCTGGTCTGGTCTTCCTGGCTCTTTTGGCAATGCTGGCTAAGACCTGGTGGAGACATGAGGGGCCACAGGTGGAAATGGAAGAAACATGACTGAAGCTGGCTGGAGTGAATGGCGCGACATTCTGTCTGTGGGAGATTGGCCAGATGGGTTTCAAGTGTGTTGTATCAGCTGTGACTTTTAGTAATGTTCTTGCTACCACAATATCCACTCGTCCATCCCGAATAATTGTGATGAAATATTGTCCTTGGGATAATATTCATTTGCTAAAGACAGGGATGATACCTCAAGGTGCCACTATATACATCGAGGGGATCCACAAAAGTCCATTCAGTAAAATGTAGTTGGCATCTTAGGGTAGGTTGATTCCACCTCTAAAAAAGTAGGTACAACATCAGGTTGATTTTTCCGAAGAAAAGTGGTGATTGGCCATCTTTAGTCTCAATGTAAACGGTAATACTGATGAGTGTGGAAAAGGCAGGGAAGAGGATTGACAATAAGTGACACTCATTGTTTTCATCTGAGCTTTGAGACTGAAAGAGGAACACAGGAGTGAGATGTATGGGAACAAACCCCTTCTTTTTCCAGCTAAACAGAGTGGAAGTTGGACACTGAGTTTTGGCGTACAGCAAAATCCTAAGTCCATTGTTGGGTTGAACACGGCCATGTTGTACATCCTGGTTTCACAGCAGACACTGGAGGAAAACAGCCTGTATTCATAAGAGGCTGTCCCTCGGGTCACTGCCCAGAATATCCGGAGTTGGTGCTCACAGGGTTGGGAACTCTCCTGGACCAGACAGGCTCTGGATATGGGGGGGTACCAAGCTCCCCGGGGCCATGCCTCCACAGCTCTCTTCTCACCTCATTCTTGACCATTTCCCAAACCTCTGACCTCACCTTCATTCATCCATGGTGAACACGCTAAAGCTGGCCTTCAAAGCTTGAGACAGAGGAAAATTGGGCTTCATCTCTGGGAACTAAATTGGGGAGTGGAGACTCAGTTCTGGCCTGACAGGAGGGAGAAGACCCTGGATCCCAGTGTGGATGGGAAGAAGTATGTGTTTCTCTTTTGTGCTTGGACCCTGTGTCCAAGCATGTCTGAGATGTGATGAAGATGAATCTTCCTTTCCTTGTCTATTTTCTCATGCCAGAGAATTGGAATCTTATATTCCATTAACTCTTTCTGTTCTGTTCATCCAGATTCTATGAAGGAGAAAGGAAAAGATGTGATACTGTAATTTTGCTCCATTTGTCTAAAATGAGTAGGCTGCAACTCCTCTTGAAGTGATACCTTTTCTAGCTCTTGTTGGAGGTGTCTCAGGACTCATTACTTCGGGGAACCTGCAACTGTGTCAGTCTGGGGAAACTGCAAATATTCTTGTCTTACATTTGTCTCCAGCCAATTGTGATGGACTCCAGTGACCTGCAATTGCTGTTATTGCAGGTAAAATGTACCTGAGTCAGGCCACAGTTCTCCTGGACTATGAGCCCCTGGCCATGTTCCTGAGGCAATTCTGTTCATCTAAATATAATAATAATAACACACTAAAAATGGCAAGCCATTGTTAATTCCTGAAGTCTCATTTGAAAATTACTAAATGTCTGTTATTTTTTGGTGTTTACATTATATGTAGACAGATAAACTACACACACACACACACACACACATGCACACAGAAGAATGGATTGGTTCATGTAGAAAAGTAAATAATTCAAGATGAAAGGATGAAATGTCATGGCACCTACTATTCTATTTTAGATAAAGGGTCTATGAAAAGATTGATTTCTTTTTATGTTTTATTTGTTGACATTTGAACACAAACTATGTAAGTGAGGGAGTCGATTTGAAAGGGAGAAGAGCAAGTTCAAACACATTCAGGTGAGGTCATGCTTTACATGTTTTAATTGAAATGATCCATCTTGGGAGTAGATCAATAACTGAGATGGTGCCAGGAATGTTAAAAAGCTTTTGTCAGTCCTAAATATTGACAAATAAAATTTAATTAAAGTCTTAGAAGAAAACACAAAGGAAAACTTCACAACATCGGATTTGGCAGTGATTCTTTAGATGTGACAACAACGGCACAGGCTACTACAGAAAAAATAAACAAGTTAGACTTTATGAAAATTTTGAAATATTGTGACTCAAAAGACAACATCAGTTACTTCACATGGCAAGGAAAAAGAACTTTTAAGACGATATTATCAAAGTAAAAAGACAACCCACAGAATGGGAGAAAATGTTTTCAAACCACACCACCTGTAAGGGATTAACATCCAGAATATACAGACAACTCCTAAAACTCAATCACAATAAACTCAATTCAAAAATGGGCAAAGTACTGAAACAGACATTTCTCCAAAGAACATACGCATGAAAAGATATTCAGCATCACGAATCATTAGGGAAATACTAACTAAAACTACACCAGATGCCATTTCATACCCCTTAGGATGGGTATCATCAAAACAACAACAACAACAACAACAAAGTTTCTATACATTAACAACAAACTATCCAAAAAAGTTTACAAGAAAATAAGCCCATTTGCAATAACTACAGAAAACAAAACATGCAGGAATAAATTCACCCAAGGAGTAGAAAGATCTGTATGCAAAAGCTATAAAACATTGATGAAAAAACTCAAGAAATAAACAAATAAATCGAAAGATATTCCATGTTCACGGATCAGAAGGATTAATGTTGTTAAAATGTCCATTCTATCCAAAGTGATTCAATGCAACCATTATCAAAAATCCAATGACATTTTTTTTACAGAAATAGAAAAAACAGTCCTAAAATTCATGTGGAACCACAAAAGATCTCAAATAACCAAAGCCATCTAGAGGGAAAGGAACAAAGTTGGAAGCATCACATTACCTAAACACAAACTACATTACAAAATTACAGTAATTAAAACAACACAGTACTTGCATAAAAACAGACACATAGACCAATGGAAGTGATTCATAGCCCAGGAAAAAAATGCATGCATTTAGGGTCAAACAATTTTTGGGATGTGTCAAGAACACACAATGGAGAAGGAACAGTCTCTTTAATAAATGGGATTGGGAGACTGCATGTCCACATGCAGAAGAATGGAAGTGGACATTTGCCTCACAAAACATACAAAGTCAACTCAAGATAGATTAATGACTTAAATGTAAGATGAAAGACTATAATCCCAGCAATTTGGGAGGCCAAGGTGGGCAGATCACCTAAGGTCAGGATTCCAAGACCAGCATGGCCAACATGGTGAAATCCCGCCTCTACTAAAAATACAAAAACAGCTGGGTGTGGTTGTGGGTGCCTGTAATCTCAGCTACTCGGGAGGTTGAGACAGGAGAATCACTTGAACCCAGGAGGTAGAGGTTGCAGTGAGCCGAGATCGCACCACTGCACTCCAGCCGGGGCAACACAGTGAGACTCCATCTTAAAAAAAAAAAAAAAACTACTAAAAGAAATCAAGGGAAAACTCCACTGGCTTGGGCAAAACCATTTTGGATATTAACCCAAAGGCCCAGGCAACAAAAGCAAAAGTAGACAAATAACATTATATCAAATTGAAAGTTTCTGCAAAGAAAAAAAAAACTCAACAAGTGGAAAGACAACCTATGGAATGGGAGAATATATTTGCACCCATACATCTAATAAGGAATTAATATCCAAAATATATAAGAAACTCAAACAACTCAATAGTAAGAAATCAAATAACCCAACTTAAAAAAATGGGCAAAGTATCTGAATAAACATTTCTAAGAATAAGACAAATCACCAAAAGGTATATGAAAAAATGATTAGCATTACTAAACATCAGCTAAATAAAAATTAAAACTAGAATGAGATATCACCTCACACCTCTTAGAATGACCATTAACAGTCTGGGCATGGTGGCTCATGCCTGTAATTCAGGCACTTTGGGAGGCCGAGGCAGGGAGATTACCTGAGGTCAGCAGTTCGAAACCAGCCTGGCCAATATGGTGAAACCCCATCCCTACTAAAAATACAAAAATTAGCAGAGTTTGGTGGCGCACACTTGTAGTCCCAGCTACTCTGGAGACTGAGGCAGGGGAATCGCTTGAACCCAGGAGGCAGAGGTTGCAGTACACCGAGATTGTGCCACTGCACTCCAGCCTGGGTGACAGAGCAAGACTGAGTCTCAAAAAAAAAAAAAAAAAAAGACCATTATCAAAAACATAAAAAATAACAAGGGTTAACGAGGATGTGGAGAAAAGGGAACATTTGTATGCAGTTGATGGGAATGTAAATTAGCACAACCATTATGGAAAACAGTCTGGAAGTTCCTGAAAAAATTAAACATAGAATTCCCATATGTGTCTGCAATCCAACTACTGCGCATGTATCCAAAGGAAGTGGAATCAGTATGTTGAAGAGATATCTGCATTCCCATGTTTACAGCCGCATTATTCATAACAGCCAAGATGTGGAATCACCCTTACTGCCCATCTATGGGTGCATGGACAAAGAAAACGTGGTATACGATAGGAACGTAATGAAGTACTATACAACCTTTACAACAAAGAAGGAAGTCCTCTCATTTGTGACAATGTGAAAAAACTTAGAGGACATTATGTTAAGGGAAACAATCCAGGCACAGAAAGACAAATGCCACATGATCTCATGTGTGGAGTGTAAGAAGTGGAACCTAGAGGAACAGTAAAATGGTCGTCGAAAGAACCTGGGATGGAGAGAGATTGAAGAGATGTTGGTCAAAGGATGCAAAATTTCAGTTAGAAGAAATCGGTTCAAGAGATCTATTGTATGTCTTGGTGACTCCAGTTAATAGCAACATATGGTGTATTGAACATTACTAAGAGATTAGATTTTACATGTTCTCACCACACACACAAAACATACAAGTATGTGAAAAAATAAATATGATAAAGAGGTTGTTTCATCCATTCCACAATGTGTACCTATATGAAAACATCATGATGGACACCACAAATACCCTTTTCCTCATTAATTAAATTTGTTTTGGTTTTTTTTTTGAGATGCAGTTTCACTGTTGTTGCCCAAGCTGAGGTGCAATGGCGTGATCTCCGCTCACTGCAACCTCTGCCTCCCAGGTTCAAGCGGTTCTCCTGACTCAGCCTCCCAAGCAGCTGGGACTACAGTTGCGTACCACCCCGTCCGGCTATATTTGTGTTTCTAGTAGAGACAGGGTTTCGCCATGTTGGCCAGGCTGGTCTCGAACTCCAGACCTCAGGTGATCCACCCGCTTCGCCCTCCCAAAGTGCTAGATTTCAGGCTGAGACACCACACCCAGCCTGTACATTGACTTTCTGCCCTTAAACTGTGCTGAAGTTTGTTTCTCAGATGTAGGAGCCTTTGGGCAGAGACTATGGGGTTTCTAGGTATAGAAATTATCTCATCTTCAAACAGAGGTAATTTGACTACCTCTCTCTGCTACTCTCTTCTTACTTGGATGCCTTATAATTCTTTCTCTTTCCTGATGGCTCTGTCTAGGACTTCAAGTACTATGTTGAATAGGATGGTGAGAGTGGGCATTCTTGTCTTGTTTCACTTATGAAGGGAACTTCTTCCAGCTTTTACTCATTCAGTATGATGTTGGTTGTGGGTTTGTCACAGGCGGCTCTTATTATATTGAGTTATGTTTCTTCAATGCTTAGCTTGTTGAGGGCTTTTAACATGAAGAAATGCTTAGTAAAAAGTATGTTCTACATGTGTGTTGAGAAGATCATGTGGTTTTTGTTTTTAGTTTTGTTTAGGTGATGAATCACATGTATTGATTGTGTATGTTCAACCAACCTTGCACCCTAAGAATAAAGTTGACTTGATCATGGTGGATTCACTTTTTGATATGCTGCGGGATTCAGTTCTTAGTATTTTTTGTGGATTTTTGCCTCTATGTTCATCAGGAATATTGGCATGTAGTTTTCTTTTGTTTAATGTTCTTTTCTGTCTTTAGTATCAGGGTGATGCCAGCCTTATAGAATGAGTAAAGGCCACCCTGGGCAAACAGTGAGACCCATCCCTTTTTAAAAATTATGAGTTTTACAAATTTAAAATGCATAGTGAAAAAGTTCTTACAAACTCCAGAAAGGTAGGTGTAAATAAGAGACATTTGTAAGAATGACAGCACATTAAATGTGTAGATTTCAACCTTCAGTTATTGCAATATTCCAGTATCAAGTTGGAGGATGTTATCAGTCTGATATTTTTTCCTCAAATGAGAGAGAGAAAGAAAGACACACAAACAACACAGGGAGAAAAAAAGCACACGTTACAGAGAGACAAAAAGGGAGACAGGGAACTGTGAATTTGGACTCTTGTGTCATAAGACAAATTCTAGATAACACGACCAGACCTTCAATTGACATATTGTGTTTTTGCTAATAAGGTGGAATTCTATGATGCGAAATAACTATATAGTCTTTTCTACTGGGATTTAAATCATTTTATCTGTTTCTGGCTTAACAGGAAAAATACAACCATGGAAAATTATGATGATTTATTTAATACGATTGCTCTATAGTGTTAATAAAACCTATTAGGTATTTTGCATATTACATATCAAGGAGAGTTTGAATCTCAGGTAGAAACAAAAAAAAATACATCAAAAGTTCCTCATGTGAGTGCAGAATTCAATCGTCCCGTGCAGGGGTAAGTGAGTCTGAGATGTGTTTTGAGCCTGGCCGTTGCGCATGATGTGAAGTGACAAGTCTAGTCTGCAGTTTTCAGAAACCCTCATTCCTCCCTTGACTGATTCACCACTTGAACCTCATATGACGTAGAAGAAGCCTACCTATGTCCCCTTCACATGTTGTGGTCAATGTGTCAACTGCACGATCCGGGCCCCTCACCACATCCTCTGCACCGGTCAGTCGAGCCGAGTCACTGCGTCCTGGCAGCAGAAGCTGCACCATGTCCATGTCACCCACGGTCATCATCCTGGCATGTCTTGGTGAGTCCTGGAAGGGAAGGAGCACCAGGGTTACACTATGGGCCTGCAGATTGGGTGTCTCCCCAGCAGAGAGCCATGTTCTGAAGCAAGTGAGTGGTGAGGATGAGTTAATTTTCAGTCCAGCGTGGCGCCCAGTGGCTCAGGAGGAAAGGGTAGGTTGCTGCCGAGATGAATAGTTCCTCATGATCTTTCTTTGCAGGGTTCTTCTTGGACCAGAGTGTGTGGGCACACGTGGGTGAGTCCTTCCCCAAATGATGGGTTGCCATCTTCACCCCAATACAAGTGAATTTTCCGGAAATGGGAGGGAGGCAGCACAGAGGGTGGGCTGATGGGCTGACCATGGGAAGGCCTGGGGGGAGTCTCTCATGAACTAGTAAGAGGAGATCCTGGGAGTCTCTCATGAACTAGTAAGAGGAGATCCTGGGAGTCTCTCATGAACTAGTAAGAGGAGATCCTGGTATGCTCAGCCTTCTGTTTTGTCTTAGCCCTCCCCAGCCTTTCTTCCCCATGGCTGAGTTGAGCTCTGTGTGGCCCAGGCGGGATACTGAGGTGCTCAAAGCTGGGGTGTGTGGGGGGATGTGGTGTCACCGACAGAGGAGGGAAGGGTAGCAGTGTTAGGAACAGCAGGTCCTCTGAGGACAAGAGGGTAACTCACACCCTCCAGCGTTTCCATGACGGTAGGGGCTGCAGTGTGGCTGCTGTCATTCTGCCAGAAGAGGTGGGGGAACCACAGCCACGACCCTGCCATTCCAAATCCTCTGATGGAGCTCAGTTGTTTATTGTGGTTCAGGCATTAGCTAATATTCCATTCACAAAGGTCATACCCTCCACCCCATGTCTACTTTGTGTTGTTTGGTGTAACTAATCTTGCAGTATTAAAATCTAGTAAGAGTCCCTTACTCAGCACCTGCTCAGTTCTCAACTGACACTTTTGTTGTAGGGAGACGCCACGTCTATGCGGGATGGGTCCTTCCTGTAGCCCCAGGCACCCAGGTGTGGTAGGAGCCTTAGAAAGAAGAAATGGGGAGAATCTTCTGAGCACAGGGAGGGAGGGGCAGCTCAACATACTCCTCTCTGAGGCGGCATCTCCTTCTCCCCAAGGTGGTCAGGACAAGCCCTTCTGCTCTGCCTGGCCCAGCGCTGTGGTGCCTCAAGGAGGACACGTGACTCTTCGGTGTCACTGTCGTCGTGGGTTTAACATCTTCACGCTGTACAAGAAAGATGGGGTCCCTGTCCCTGAGCTCTACAACAGAATATTCTGGAACAGTTTCCTCATTAGCCCTGTGACCCCAGCACACGCAGGGACCTACAGATGTCGAGGTTTTCACCCGCACTCCCCCACTGAGTGGTCGGCACCCAGCAACCCCCTGGTGATCATGGTCACAGGTCAGAGGGCTCCTGTCTGGGCTTCTCCTTGTCCCACCTCCTGAGTCCCAGAGCTTCTGGTGGGGGTGTCCACCAGAGTCCGATCATCCAGGCCCCAACTATATTTGGGGTAAAGGGGGATTGAATACAGGGGAATGGGTGCTGTGTTGGAAAGAATAACTGTCCCCATCGATGGCCACATTGTAATCCTTGGAGCCTGTGACTATGTTATAGGGCAGGGGACTGAAGGGGAAGATGGAGCTCAGGTTGTTGATGAGTTGACCTTGAGATGGGGAGATGGCCTGGACCCTCCCACTGGGCTCAGTGTAATCACAAGGGTCCATATGAGTGGAGAAGGAAGAGGAGAATGGGGATTAGAGCAGCATCGTGGGATACTCCACCAGCCACTGTGGGCTTTGAAGGTGGAGGAAGACCACGAGCCACGAAGGGGCTGGAGAAATCAATGGAACTGATTCTCCCGAGTCTCCAGAGGGAATGCAGCCCTGCAGATGCCTTGATTGTAGCCCAGGAAGAACAGGGTCTGATTTCTGTCTCCAGAAGTGGAAGGGGTCAGTGTGTTCTCTCCTGCCGCCATGTTTGTGATAATTTTCTCCAGCAACATCAGGAAACCAACACAGGAACCCAGGTGAAGGACAAGTTAAAAAACCAAACAAGAAGGTTGGCTACCCTGAGATCAGCAAGGGTGCACTGCTGATGCCACCACCAGGCTGGAACCACATAGGGAGGGATCGACAGGAAGAGTTGGGGGTGGAGGGTGAGAGAGAGAGAGAGAGAGAGAGCACTAGGCCATAGAGCAGGGCAGTGAGTTCTCAGCTCAGGTGGGAGGGGAGCTGTGACAAGGAAGAACCTCCCTGAGGAAACTGCCTCTTCTCCTTCCAGGTCTATATGAGAAACCTTCGCTTACAGCCCGGCCGGGCCCCACGGTTCGCGCAGGAGAGAACGTGACCTTGTCCTGCAGCTCCCAGAGCTCCTTTGACATCTACCATCTATCCAGGGAGGGGGAAGCCCATGAACTTAGGCTCCCTGCAGTGCCCAGCATCAATGGAACATTCCAGGCCGACTTCCCTCTGGGTCCTGCCACCCACGGAGAGACCTACAGATGCTTCGGCTCTTTCCATGGATCTCCCTACGAGTGGTCAGACCCGAGTGACCCACTGCCTGTTTCTGTCACAGGTGAGGAAAGCCAATGTCTGTCCCATGTCCTATGGTCCTAGAGCCTTAGCTGAGGAGCTTCCTGCTGATGATGGAGAGAAGCATGGACAGATGTGGAGAGAAGATGCAGCATGGTGTGAGGGTGGGATCAGGGCACAGGATGGCAGACAGGGCACCTCCAAACCCTCCTGCATGGCCTGCATGGAAGCTTGCAGTAAGGGCTCCGGGTACCCAGGCAGATGGAGAAAGTGGTCAGGACAGACCCAGAGGAGGGAGACTGGGCTCAGTTTGGGGAGATCAGAGGTTCCCTCAGCCCCTCAACCTTACCCATTTCCCAGAAGCCCACCCTGGCCTCTCACCTACACAGAGATGTCATCACCAGCAACCCCTACACTTTTTCTTTTCCTTTGAAAAAATGCTGATTGAGGTTAAATATACCTATATAATTTATCAACTTTACCATTTTTAAGTGTAAAATCTAGGGATCATAAATACCTTTATATGCTGTGTGCGGTGGCTCACGCCTGTAATCTCAGCATTTTGAGACGCCAAGGCAGGTGGATCATTTAAAATCAGGGGCTGGAGACCAGCCCGGCCAACATGGGGGAACCAATCTTTACTAAAAAGACAAAAAAAATAAAATTAGCCAGGCATGGTGCCAGGCGCCTATAATCCCAGCAACTTGGGAGGCTGAGGCGGGAGAGTGGCTTAAACCCAGGAGGAGGAGGTTGCAGTGAGCTGAGATCATGCCACTGCACTGCAGCCTGGTGACACAGAGAGACTCTGTCTCTAAATAAATAAATAAATACTTTTATATTCTTCTTTTGTTACCCTCCACCCCTTCCTTCCTAACCTCTGGTATCCACCATTCTACTCTCTACCTTCATGAGGTCCACCTTTTACATCCTGCATGTGAGTAAGAAATGGCAATCCTTGTAATGACCTCCAGTCCATCCATGTGGCTGCAAATGACAGGACGTTTCTCTTTGTATGGATGAGTTGTCTCCATTGTGTGTATGTACTACATTCTCTCTATCCATTCATCCACTGATGGGCAGGTAGGTTGACTCCACATCTTGGCTACTGTGAACAGTGCTGGAACAGTCATGGGAGTGCAGATGTCACTTCAATACACTGAAGTCCTTTTCTTTGCATTTACACCCACTAGTGGAATTGCTAGATCCTCTGGATGTTCTCTTTTTAGGTTTTGTTTTATGCTTTTTGTTTTTTTGACATAGCGTTTCACTCTTGTTGCCCAAGCTGGAGTGCAATGGCACCACCTGGGCTCACTGCAACCTCTACCTCCAGGATTCAAGTGATTCTCCAGCCTCAGCCTCCCGAGTAGTTGGGATTACTGGTGCCCGCCACCACGCCTGGCTGATTTTTGTATTTTTAGTAGAGACGGGGTTTCACCATGTTAGCCAGGCTGGTCTCGAACTCTTGACCTCCAGTGATCTGCCCACTTCAGCCTCCCAAGGTGCTGGGATTACAAGCGTGAGCCACAGTGCCTAATCTCTTTTTAGTTTTTAAGGAACTTCCATATTCTTCTCCTCTGTAATGGCTGTATTAATTTACATTCCTATCAACAGTGTATCAGGGTTCTCCTTTCTCCACCACCTTGCCAACATTTGTTTTGTCTGTCTCTGAGATAAAACCCATTGTAATGGGGTGAGATGATAGCTCATTGTGACTTCATTTGCATTTCTCTGATGATTAGTGATACTGAGCACTTTTTCATATATGCAATGTATATATGTTCATTTGTATGTTTTGTTCATTGAGAAATGTCTGTTCAGGTCTTTTACTAATTTTATAATTAAATTATTAGTTTTATTGAGGTGTTTGAGCTTCTTTTATATTCTAGTTATTAATCCCATCTCAGATGCATAGTTTGCAAATATTTGCTCCCATTCTGTGGGTTGTCTCTTCTTCACTTCATTGGTTGCTTCCTTTGCGGTGCAGAAGCTGCTTGATTTGATATAATCCCAATGGTCTATTTTTTTGTTGTTGTTGTGATTACTTGTGTTTTTGAGGTTTTAAACAAAATGTCTTCCCTCAGACAAATGTCCTGGAGCATTTCTCCAGTGTTTCCTTTTAGACATTTAATGGATTCAGGTCTTAAGTCATTAATCCATTTTCATCTGATTTTTGTGTATGGTGAGAGGTAGAGGTGCAGTTTCATCCCTCTGCATGTAGATATCCAGTTTTCCCTGCACCATTTATTGAAATGACTGTCCTTTCCAGATTGTAGATTCTTCGAACCTTTGTCAAAGTCCATTGGATGTAAATGGGTGGATTACATCCGTGTTCTTCATTCTGCTCCATTGTTTTATGTGCTTTTCTTTATGCCAATGTCATGTTGTTTTGCTTACTACAGCTCTGTAACATATTTTTAAGTCAGGTAGTGTGATGCTCCTGTTTTCTCCTTATACCTTGAAGTCTCAAGATAGTTGGTGTCACCTACAATGATTATGGAGAATGGGATGCCAGGACTCCCAGGGCCCAACATTAGATAATAGAATGTTGGCCATGAACCAACCTCAAAGATTTCCATTGAGTAGAAGACAGGCATCCTCATTGCCACACCTCTCTCCTGTCCCATGTTCTAGGAAACCCTTCTAGTAGTTGGCCTTCACCCACTGAACCAAGCTTCAAAACTGGTAAGTGAAGGACCCCTCTTATCTCTGCTTTTGGAAACCTGGGGAGGTAGAAGCCTTGGATTCAAGCGTTGGCTCAGCACCTGCCAGCTCTGTGATTGTGGGCCTGTCTTCCATTGTCTCTGAACCCCAGACACTCCAACAGCGAAAGGGATCTGGGCCCAGCACAGGGCTCAGTGAAATCTCTTAATCTCTAATTTTCTGCTGCTGAGACCTCAGGGTAGAAGGATGAGTGCAAATCAGACATTCTTCTCAGGAAAAATGCTGTGTTTGTTCTGCCTGCATTCCTAACTGGGAGGACAAATGCCTGGGGGCTTGAGAAGGGGAAGGACGGGGAACATTTTTGAGGGTGGTGTATTTGTAGAGAAGTTCTACTTGCCAAGGAATGAGCTCCTGTCTGTCATGATCCAACCCTGGTTGACTTAGTGGAACAAGAGCTTTGCGGTAAGAGAGAACGTAGTTCATCCGTGCACATGACACTTCCACTTACTCGTTCAGCCACTGCCCCATGCTCAGACTGTGCAGTGTGGAACCTTTTCCTATGTTGCCATAACAAATTTCCACAAGCTTCGTGGATGGAAACCACATTTTAAAAAAATATCTCATGGTGCTGTAGCTCAGAAGTATGAAATGCATCATCTCACTGGGCTAAAATCAAGGTGACAGCAAGGCTGCCTTCCCTCTGAATGTTCCAGGCAAGAATCTGCTTCCTCACTTTTCCCAGCTCCTAGAGGCTCCCACATTCCTTGGCTCCTGGTCCCCGTCTTCCTCCCTCAAAGTCCACAAAGGCTGGTCACGCCTCTCACACGGCATCACTCAGACCCTTCTTCCTTGTCCACACCTCTTTCTCTGAATGCTGCTCTGCCTTCTTCCTCATCTTTTAAGGACTTTGGCATTCTATTGGAAACACCAAGATAATCCATCATAATTTCCCTAAAATCATCTAGGATACCCTCCTTTTAAGGTTAGCTGATTAGCAACCGTAATTCCATCTGCAATCTGCATTCCTTTTTTCCATGTAAAATAACATATTCACAAGATATGGCGACTAGGACAGGAACATTTTGGGGTGGGGCGGCATTCTTATCCTTTCCACAAATGGTAAACAAGGTGCATTTGGCCTCTGCTCTTGGACACTGATATTGCAAAGGATTAAATGGGAGGGCAGAAAATGAATGCACCAGTGGACCAATAAATGAATGATCCATTGGGAAGCATCTGTGCATGAGAATGATTGATTGATTGGTTGTTTTTATGAGACGGTGTCTCCCTCTGTGCCCCAGGCTGGAGTGCAGTGGCGGGATCTCGGCTCACCGCAACCTCCACCTCCCAGGTTAAAGCGATTCTCTACACTCAGCTTCCCGAGAGGCTGGGATTACACCCATGTCCCACCACGCCTGGCTAATTTTTTTTTGGTATTTTTTTTTTAGTACAGACAAGGTTTTACCATGTTGCCCAGGCTATCTCAAACTCCCAACCTTAAGGGATCCGCCCGTCTCAGCCTCCCAAAGTGCTGAGATTCGAGGCGTGAGCCAAGGCGCCGAGCCGTATTTTAAAAGAAATAATAGATAATGCTGAGTGTATAATTTCGGGTGACAGAGAAGTTCTCACTGATCAAATAATACTTGTGACCTTAATGAAAAAAATAGATCAACCCCTGGAAGATTGGCGGAAGGATTTTCCACACAGCTGTCAGCCGTGAAGGCACAAAGGTGAAAACAATGTTATGTGGAAGGAAGAGGCTCTGCCTGAAATGCTGGGAATGAGATGGGGAGAATGACAAGACGACTGTGGAGAGACAGAGAGCACTCTGGGTACACAGGAAACTAAGGAGGAACAAGGAGCGTGTGTTTGACACTCACAGCCATTGGACTTACCTCGGGGCTAACTGGGAATCCCTACATGATGAATAGTGACTGACATGAAAATAAGGGAGGCCCAGGTGCATAACTGGAATCTAGGAGACTGTGGAAAAGGCAATTCCCGCCCCCCTGGTGAAATGTGGTGCTGATTTAGACACTAAATGAATGAAAGATGGACACAAGATGTGTTTGTGAGGTAGAGTAATTTGCAGGGAGGGCTTGCCTGCTTTGATTTTTCCTAATTGTTTAATCTTCACTTCATTGATTTCTTTCTGAGATTTATTTTTCCTACATGTAAATCAATACTTGGCAGAGGAGTGAGAGATACATGAGGGGTGGTGCAAAGGAAGAGACCTATTATAATATAACACACAAGGTTCTGAACGGTGGCTCACACCTGTAACCCAACATTTTGGGAGGCTGAGGAGGCTGGATCAAGTGAGATCAGGAGTTCGAGATCAGCCTGGACAACATGGTGAAACCCCATCTCTACTAAATATACAAAAACTAGCTGGGGGTGGTGGCGCATGCCTGTAATACCAGCTATTCGGGAAGTTGAAGAAGGAGAATGGCTTCAACCAGGGAGGGAGAGGTTACAGTGAGCCAAGATCGCGTCATTGCACTGCACCCTAGGTGACAGAGTGAGACTCCATGGCAAAAAATAAAAATAAAGAATACATAAATATAATATAACATACACGAATGACAAAGGCACACCAATTCCAATCATCATTTTTCTATTTCTCTATAATGACTTCTTTGATCCTTTATCCTATCCATAAGAAAATCAGGCGAAAACATCTTCCTTATTTGGCTTTCTGTGAGCATGAGATCATATGGAAAATGTGAAACCCACCAGCGCAGGTCCTGGAATAGAGAACGTGATCTGTTCATGGCACAAAACTTGCCCCTTCACCCAAATCCCCCACCTCACCCCTACTTCCAATCACATTAATGATACAGATAGATCATGGGGAGGTAAAAACTAATATTCTTTGGAGTTCAGATCGTAGACTCAGAGACCAGTGCCAGCACTATCTCCTGGTCACCTTTTGGAGTAATTCACAGAAAGACAGGCTGTATTGAAGCAACAGATGATGGAGGGGGTGGTCTTTCCCCCAGACTCTCGGGTGGAACAGCAGCCTAATATCTGACTCCCAAGATGACAAAAGTAGCATGTTGCCCACGAGCTTCATCATTATTTCCTGGCTGTTTGATATAAGACAGCTCAACCTCACTTATGTTGATTTCAATGTCACTGTTTTTTCCTTTTCTTGGAGAATGTAATTTGTTTGAGTCAAGAGGGTTGTGGATGTAGAAACTGTAAAGCACATTCACTGTGTATCAATCCCAGTCCAGTCTTCCCAGAGAAGACTCTAAACACCTCCCATACTGCACCTGGGGCTGTGCCAATTTCTATCACTCACCATCACTCCAGGGAGACAGAACACACAGGGAATACATTACATAGGCAGGTTCATTACTTATAGATAAGCAGCGAGTGACAACAGAAACCTTCCTTTCAGGGTGAGCCAGTCCCTCAAGGCTCAGAAAAACTGCTCAGGACACATGGAGTCACTTCATGTGCACTGTAGCTGGGGGAAGCCAGAAAGCAGCCCAGCCTGGGTTTTGTACCCTGGAGCCACAGGGAACACTCAGCTAAAGCACTGCATGATGTTCTCCTCCAGGAAGAACAGGAAGACAGCCCAGGCTGTTCTGAGACGTTCCTCCTGATCTCAGGATGTTGCTGTCTTAGCCTATTTTTGTTGCTATAAAAGAACACTTGAGCCTGGGTATCTTCTAAAGAAAAGAGATGTGTTTGGCTCACTGATCTGCACGCTGTACTAGAAGCAGGACACTACCATCTATTTCTGGCTGCGGCCTCAGGCTGCTCCCACACTGACAGAAGAGAAGGGGGTCCTGCGTGTGCAGAGACCACAGAGATCACATGGCAAGAGAGGGAGAAAGGGGGTGTGATGGAGCTTCCAAGCTCTTTTTAAGAATCAACTCTCCAGGGTACTAATAGAGGGAGAACTTGCTAACCCCGTCCTCTGGGGACAGCATTAATCTATTCATGATGGATCCACCCCCATGACCAAAACACCCCTCCCAATAGGCACAACCTCCCACACTGGGGATTAAATTTCAAAGTGGGGTTTGGAGGGGTCAAACATTGAAACAATAGCAGTTGTATCATCAGCACATTCTATTGTTATTATGAAAACTATAACGGAGAAAGCAGGAGAAAGCTGGGTCTCCCGCCTCGTGGGTGCTTGTCCTAAAGAGGTGTTTTATGTGGTTGCCTGGCAACCAAGAAATGAGAGACAATCCACAAAGAGGAACTGCTATGGTTAGCTTCTTATTGGATTCTCATCTTCCTCCAGGTATCGCCAGACACCTGCATGCTGTGATTAGGTACTCAGTGGCCATCATCCTCTTCACCATCCTTCCCTTCTTTCTCCTTCATCGCTGGTGCTCCAAAAAAAAAAGTAAGCCTCACGAAGCAGAGGCCAGAGAACTCAGGGCCCTGTGCGGAAGCAGGATGGGAGCACGCAGGTGTGTGTTCCTCACTGGCAGGAAAGTCTCTGGCCCAAGGCAGGAGCCAGAGGCAGAGCTTTCTAGAGAGAGCACCAGACAACCTGCCCCTGCCTTCAGCTCACAGACCATTGCCTGATTGTGAACTGTATCCTCACGTCCCCTGCAGCCACTCACATCCAGGAGAAGATTCCATGACAGGCAGAAAGTGGGAGATAGAATCAATGGGATGGGAACTGACAGCTATTCATGGAATGGGGTCTTGCACTCAGAGAGATGGAATGTCTGAGTCTGGCTGTTGGCAGCTGAGGGACCTCAGGCACCTATGGCCTCCCCCTGTGTGTTGGTATCTGTTCATGAAATGAGGACCCAGAAGTGCCCTCCCAGCTGTTTCGATTGCTTCCGTCTCCTACAGATGCTGCTGTAATGAACCAAGAGCCTGCGGGACACAGAACAGTGAACAGGGAGGTAGGTCCTCCTAGCCCAGCCTCATGGATACAGTCTTATTCCCTAATAGTCCTGAAAAATGTGAACACCCTCCCTCACTCAGGATTTCCCTCTCTCCAGGACTCTGATGAACAAGACCCTCAGGAGGTGACATACGCACAGTTGGATCACTGCATTTTCACACAGAGAAAAATCACTGGCCCTTCTCAGAGGAGCAAGAGACCCTCAACAGATACCAGCGTGTGTATAGAACTTCCAAATGCTGAGCCCAGAGCGTTGTCTCCTGCCCATGAGCACCACAGTCAGGCCTTGATGGGATCTTCTAGGGAGACAACAGCCCTGTCTCAAACCCAGCTTGCCAGCTCTAATGTACCAGCAGCTGGAATCTGAAGGCGTGAGTCTCCATCTTAGAGCATCACTCTTCCTCACACCACAAATCTGGTGCCTGTCTCTTGCTTACCAATGTCTAAGGTCCCCACTGCCTGCTGCAGAGAAAACACACTCCTTTGCTTAGCCCACAATTCTCTATTTCACTTGACCCCTGCCCACCTCTCCAACCTAACTGGCTTACTTCCTAGTCTACTTGAGGCTGCAATCACACTGAGGAACTCACAATTCCAAACATACAAGAGGCTCTCTCTTAACACGGCACTTAGACACGTGCTGTTCCACCTTCCCTCGTGCTGTTCCACCTTTCCTCAGACTATTTTTCAGCCTTCTGGCATCAGCAAACCTTATAAAATTTTTTTGATTTCAGTGTAGTTCTCTCCTCTTCAAATAAACATGTCTGCCTTCATTCTTTAGGTGACTCTTTTTTTGGCTGAAAGTTTCCAGTGTTATCATTACCATGTCCAAATAACTCCAACTGTTCTCCACTGGGTTCTCACCCCTGGACTCTGAGCTTCTGGAAGCAGGGTGGAGCCTCATTTGTCTCTGAGACTCCAATTTCCATCCAAAGATGCAGCACATAAGAGGTTCCAAGGATCGTGAATCACATGAACAAGTGATATTCTTACTCTCTGCAGACCTGGAAAGCTGGCAGAGTCATTCCATGATGAAACATTTGTAGAGTCATAGGCCTTGTTAGTCTCATCTCCACGGGGACACATATCAACACATCATCTTTCATACTATAAATATACAGTCGGTCCTCTGTATCTGTGGGATTTACAGGTGTTTATTGAACCAAATATAAATCAAAAATATTCAGAGAAAAAATCCACAAAGTTTCAAAAAGCAAAACTATGTTGAATGGACACAAATGAAGCTGTGTGTAGGCTGTATCAGGAATTATAAATAATCAAGGGATGATTTCATGTACACAGGAGGATGTGCATGGGTTATTTGCAAATGCTGTGCCATTTCATGTAAGAGGCTTGAGCATCTGCAGATTGTGCTATCTGAGTGGAGATCCTGAGACCAATCACCCACGAATAATGAGGGATGACTGTATATAATTTTTATTTCTCAATTTTAAATATAAAACATAAAAAAATTACAATAACAAGATAAAATAAACAAGTGTTTTATAGTGTGAGAATACTTTTAGATATATTTTTCTCCATGTGTAACCCTTGGGCCCATGTTATTTATTGAGAAGACATTCTATTCCACCTTAAACCACATGGCAGCCTTTGTCAACTATAAAGGGACTGTGTGTACACGGATGTATTTTAGACACTGTTTTCTGCTCAGTGGCTCTCTCTCTGTCCACTCTCTTGAGAATGCTGCATTTTATGCAGCCTTATACAACCCCTAAAATTTGGTAGCTGGAGTCCTCTAGTTATTTATTATAGGCTATTTGCTATGCTTTTTTTATTTTTCTTGAGGCAGAGTCTCGCTCTGTTGCCCAGGCTGGAGTGCAGTGGCACGATCTCGGCTCACTGCAACTTCTGCCTCCCAGGTTCAAGGGATTCCGTGCCTCAGCCTCTTGAATAGCTGGCATTACAAGTGCCTGCTACCAGGCATGGCTAATTTTTGTATTTTTAGCAGAGACATGGTTTCACTATATTGGCCAGGCTGGTCTCAAACTCCTGACCTCGGTTGATCACTCACCTCGGCTTCCAAAGTGCTGGGGAAATTGATTTTCTATAGCATTATGTTACTGGATATTTCTGTAAAATTTAAAATGAGGGAGGCAGAGAGACAGAGAGAGAGCAAACCATGAGTTGGAACTCTGGAATCTTGGGACATGAGACAAATTCTAGATAAATCTACAAAAATCCAGAATTTACATGTTGTGATTTTTGCTGATAAAGTACAATTCTAAGATTGTAAATAATTGCATAATCCTTCCCTGGGAGTTTAAATCATTTGAACTGGTTCTGCTGTAATACTAGAAATACAATCATGAAAAATTCTAATGGTTTATTAGTCACAATTGCTCTGAAAACCTTAATAATACCTATTAGATATTTTGCATATTACACAGGAAGAAGAGTTTGAATCTCAGATAAAAGCAATAAAAATACATGAAAAGTCTTTCATGTTAGCACAGATTTTAGGCATCTCGTGTTCAGGAGGTTGGATCTGAGACGTGTTTTGAGTTGGTCATAGTGAAGGACGCGAGGTGTCAATTCTAGTGAGAGCAATTTCCAGGAAGCCATGCTCCGCTCTTGAGCGAGCACCCACTGGGCCTCATGCAAGGTAGAAAGAGCCTGCGTACGTCACCCTCCCATGATGTGGTCAACATGTAAACTGCATGGGCAGGGCGCCAAATAACATCCTGTGCGCTGCTGAGCTGAGCTGGGGCGCAGCCGCCTGTCTGCACCGGCAGCACCATGTTGCTCATGGTCGTCAGCATGGCGTGTGTTGGTGAGTCCTGGAAGGGAATCGAGGGAGGGAGTGCGGGGATGGAGATCTGGACCTGGAGGTAAAGATATGGGCCTAGAGGTGGAGTTATGGGCCTGGAGGTGGAGTTATGGGCCTGAAGTGGAGATCTGGGCCTGGAGTGGAGATCTGGGCCTGGAGTGGAGATAGGGGCCTGGGGTGGAGATATGTGCCTGGAGTGGAGATCTGGGCCTGGAGTGGAGATATGGGCCTGGGGTGGAGATATGTGCCTGGGGTGGAGATATGGGCCTGGAGGGGAGATATGGGCCTGGAGGGGAGATGTGGGCCTAGAGGTGGAGTGATGGGCCTAGAAGTGGAGCGATGGGCCTGGAGTGGAGATATGGGCCTGGAGGTGGAGTTATGGGCCTGCAGTAGAGATATGGGCCTGAAGTGGAGATATGGGCCTGGAGTGGAGATATGGGCCTAGAGGTGGAGTTATGGGCCCGGAGGTGGAGTTAAGGGCATGAAGTGGAGATCTGGGCCTGGAGTGGAGATATGATCCTGGAGTGGAGATATGGGCCTGGGGTGGAGATACGGGCCTGGAGCAGACATACAAGCCTGGAAAGGAGATATGGGCCTGGAGAGGAGATAGAAGCCTGGAGTGGAAATATGGGCCTGGAGTGGAGATATGAGCCTGGAGTGGATATATGAGCCTGGAGTTGAGATAGGAGCCTGGAGTGGAGATATGGGCCTGGAGTGGACTTATCAGCCTGGAGAGGAGATATGGGTCTGGAGTGGAGATACGGACCTGGAGTGGAGATCTGGGCCTGTTGTGTAGATCTAGGCCTGGAGGTAGAGATCTGGGCCTGGAGGCTGAGTCTCTGCACAGCCGAGATCCTTGTTCCTGGGGGCAGGTAGGCAGCGAGGGTGAGTTTACCTTCAGCCCAGCAAGGGCCTGGCTGCCAAGACGCACAACCCAGTGGGGGCAGCAGGGTGCCCTGGTTTGCCTGCAGATGGATGGTCCATCATGATCTTTCTTTCTAGGGTTGTTCTTGGTCCAGAGGGCCGGTCCACACATGGGTGAGTCCTTCCCCAAACCTTAGGGTGTCATCTCCCCACATAAGAGGATTTTCCTGAAATGGGAGGGAAGTCCTGTCGGGGAGTCTCTCATACACTAGGAAGAGGGGACCCTCGGATGCTCGGCCCACATTTCTGACCTTGCCCTCCCCGGCCTTTCTTTCCCTTTCCTGAGTCAAGCTCTGTGAAGACTGGGGTGAGACTAGGGTGCTCCAAGATGGGTGTGCAGGGAGGAAGTGGTGTCAGCAGCAGAGAAAGAGAGGGAAGCAGTGCTAGGAACAGCAGGTCCTCTGAGGACAAAGGTGTAACTCACACCCTCCAGCGTTTCCGTGATGGTAGGGGCTGCAGTGTGGCTGCGGTCTTTCTACCAGAAAAGGTGAGGAAACCACAGCCATGGCCCTGACATTCCAAATCCTCTGATGGGGGCTCAGTTCATCAATTGGCTGATATTCCATTCACATAGGACTTGCCCTCCATGCCGTGTCTACTTTGTATTGTTTTATATGAGTAATTTTGCAGTATTAAAATCTAGTAAGAGTTGCTTCTCCAGCACTTGCTCAAAGTTCTCAGCTGACACTTGTTGTAGGGAGACGCCATGTCTATGCAGGATGGGTCCTTCCTGTAGCCCTGGGCACCCAGGTGTGGTAGGAGCCTTAGAAAGTGGAAATGGGGAGAATCTTCTGGGCACTGGGAGTGAGGGGCGGCTCCACATCCTCCTCTCTAAGGCAGTGCCTCCTTCTCCCCCAGGTGGTCAGGACAAGCCCTTCCTGTCTGCCTGGCCCAGCGCTGTGGTGCCTCGCGGAGGACACGTGACTCTTCGGTGTCACTATCGTCATAGGTTTAACAATTTCATGCTATACAAAGAAGACAGAATCCACGTTCCCATCTTCCATGGCAGAATATTCCAGGAGGGCTTCAACATGAGCCCTGTGACCACAGCACATGCAGGGAACTACACATGTCGGGGTTCACACCCACACTCCCCCACTGGGTGGTCGGCACCCAGCAACCCCATGGTGATCATGGTCACAGGTCAGAGGCTTTCCGTCTGGGCTTCTCACTGTCCCACCTCCTGAATCCCAGAGCTTCTGGTGGGGCTGTCCGTCAGGGTCCCATCACCCAGGCCCTGGCTGTATTTGGGGTCAAGGGAGATTGAATACAGGGCAAATGGGTGCTGTGGTGGGAAGAATAACTGTCCCCAATGATGGCTACATTGTAATCCCTGGAGCCTGTGACTATTTATGTTATAGGGCAGGGGACTGAAGGGGAAGGTGGAGCTCAGGTTGTTGATGAGTTGACCTTGAGATGGGGAGACAGCCTGGACTGTCCCACTGGGCTCAGTGTAATCACAAGGGTCCGCGTGAGAGGTGGAGGAAGAGGGGAGTGGGGATTAGAGCAGTGTAGTGGGAGGGAGACGCTATCAGCCACTGCGGGCTTTGAAAGTGGAGGAAGACCACTAGTCACAGAATGCAGGTGGCCTCTAAGGGCTGGAGAAGTCAGGAGAACTGATTCGCTGATTCTCCAGAGGGAACGCAGCCCTGTAGACGCCTTGATTTCAGCACAGGGAGAACTGGATCCAATTTCTGTCTCCAGAAGTGGAAGGGGTCAGTGTGTTCTCTCCTGCTGCCATGTTTGTGGTAATTTTCTGCAGCAGCAACAGGAAACCAACACAGGAACCCAGGTCAAGGACAAGTTAGGAACCCAGGTCAAGGACAAGTTAGGAAACCAAACAAGGACAGCCAGGTGTGGTGGTGGGCGCGAGTAATCCAACGACTGGGGAGGCTGAGGCAAGAGAATCACTTGAACTGGGGAGGCAGAGGTTTCAGTGAGCCAAGACAACACCACTACACTCCAGCCTGGGTGAAAAAGTGACTGTCTCAAAAATAAATTAATTAATCAATTAATTAAAGAAACCAAACAAGGAGAAGGTTGGCTACCCTGAGATCAGCAAGGGCAGGATGCTGATGTTACCACCAGGCTCCATCCACATAGGAAGGGGTTGATGCTCCTGGAACCAGCACCAGGGGCCACCCTATGGAAGCTGGGGCCATGGAGAAGGCACAGACATGGCAGGAGAGGCTCCCAATCCCCATCAGGAACAGGGTGTGTGGTCACTGATGTCTGTCTTACTGATGAGTTGATACCACCTGCCAGAGACTCCAATTTGTTCAAAAGAGATTGATTCAGGCTGCTAAGAGCCTGGACATGCAGCCTGTCCTCTTCCACCCCCATATAAACAGCAGGAAAGAGATTAGTGGGAAACAGATACAACAGCCCAAGAGATGAGGCTGTCTTCACAGTGGCAAGGGAGTCAGGGGCTACTGGAGACAGAGGGACAGAGAAGAGGGAGGAAGACAGATGGAGGCACCTGCACCAGGGGATATGGGCACAGAAAAGACACGGAGATGCAGAGAGGGAGGAGAGAGACAGACACGGGGAGGGGAACCCTCACTCATTCCAGGTGCCATGGATGGGATGATAAAGAGAGATGCCTTCTAAACTCACAACTTCTCTTTCTAGGAAACCACAGAAAACCTTCCCTCCTGGCCCACCCAGGTCCCCTGGTGAAATCAGGAGAGAGAGTCATCCTGCAATGTTGGTCAGATATCATGTTTGAGCACTTCTTTCTGCACAAAGAGTGGATCTCTAAGGACCCCTCACGCCTCGTTGGACAGATCCATGATGGGGTCTCCAAGGCCAATTTCTCCATCGGTTCCATGATGCGTGCCCTTGCAGGGACCTACAGATGCTACGGTTCTGTTACTCACACCCCCTATCAGTTGTCAGCTCCCAGTGATCCCCTGGACATCGTGGTCACAGGTGAGAGTGTCTAGACATTGTTCTCATTGTCACTGGGACACAGAGTGAATGATCCAGGACTTGGAACCCCCAGGTGGTCATGAGGAAGATAAGTGTGGGATTCTTATGGAAAGAGAGTGACTTGGTGAGGTCTGTACCAACAGAGACAGAGAAACAGGAGACATAAGTACAGAACAGGTGTCATAACAGGGGACAGACACAGGGGCCATACAGGGAGGTAGAAAAGAGAGAAAGAGGTAAAGGAGACACTCAGACAGACAGACATGTCCCAGAGAGAGGTGTCCTTCCATGCTGACTTTGCTCAGAGACCTGGCACAGGTTAGAAGTTTCATTTCTGTTTTACCTCCACAAAGTGTTTCTACCAGAAGAACCCAAGGACACCCATATTTCTGACCTGAGTTGGGCCCTGTGGCCTCAGGCCTTGTGCCACCTACAGATGCCGTGTTTATTCTGACACCTCTGCCTTCCATGCAATGGAGAGTAATCATCCCAGGATATCATGGCCCCAGAACACCAACCCCTGTATGCTGTGTGAACTTGGGGTCCCCAGACTGGATTCTGAGGCTCATATTCCAAATAATCCCACATATGATAGGATCGCTGAGAGACACAGAGAAAAATCAGGGACACCAAAAAGCAAAGACATAAACACACACAAAATGAGCCAGAAGAAGGAGATTAAGAGATTCACAGACACATAAAAAGAAAGAAAAGAGGGCAGAGTGGAGAGAATGATGGAAAGGAGGAGAGAAAAGCCCCAAAATCAGAACCCTGAGGGAGGGACACAAAGACAGAGAAAGATAAAGATGTGGGGATGGATTGCAGAGATTCCAAATAGAACTAGAGAGACTGAGAGGCAGAGAAAGACAAGGAGACGGAGAGAGAGAGATGATAGATGGATAGATAGACGTAGATAGATGATAAATAGGTAGATGATAGATAATGGATTGGTTATAGATACATAGATGATGACTGATAGATGATACATAGAGATGATGATGATGACGATGATGATGATAGACACATAGATATATACATAGATGATACATAAATAGAGACAGAGAGGCAGACAGAGAGGTAATAGAGAGAGAGATAGATGATACATATATAGATAATAGATGATTGATGGATAGATAGACAGATAGACAATTGATAGAGAGATAGATAAGTGATACATAAATATAGATGATAGATAATTTGTAGATAGACACAAAATAGATAAATAGATAGATCGATAGATAATAGATAGAAATGTGCAGAAAGTTATGAACAAGACAGAAAGTGAGAGACTCAAAATTAAAGAAAAAGGAAGATCAAGTCAACCAATCCAAGGAGGGTCAGAGAGAATAAAACAATCCAAAAAGGGAAAACATACCTCAGGGTGGGGAAGTGAGGTCATAGACCTAGAGAGACAGAAAAGGTAGAAGGAGGAAACAGATATGAAGAGAGATGGGGTGGAGAGTGAGAGAGAGAGAGAGAGCATTAGGTCATAGAGCAGGGGAGTGAGTTCTCAGCTCAGGTGTGAGGGGAGCTGTGACAAGGAAGAACCTCCCTGAGGAAACTGCCTCTTCTCCTTCCAGGTCTATATGAGAAACCTTCTCTCTCAGCCCAGCCGGGCCCCAAGGTTCAGGCAGGAGAGAGCGTGACCTTGTCCTGTAGCTCCCGGAGCTCCTATGACATGTACCATCTATCCAGGGAGGGGGGAGCCCATGAACGTAGGCTCCCTGCAGTGCGCAAGGTCAACAGAACATTCCAGGCAGATTTCCCTCTGGGCCCTGCCACCCACGGAGGGACCTACAGATGCTTCGGCTCTTTCCGTCACTCTCCCTACGAGTGGTCAGACCCGAGTGACCCACTGCTTGTTTCTGTCACAGGTGAGAAAAGCCCATATCTCTCTCATGTCCTATGATCCTAAATCCTTAGCTAAGGAGCTTCCTGCTGATGATGGAGAAAAGCATGGACAGATGCAGAGAGAAGACACAGCAGGTGTGAGGGCGGAGTCAGGGCGCAGGATGGCAGACAGGGCACCTCCAAACCCTCCTTCATGGCCTGCATGGAGGCCTCCGATCAGGGCTCCAGGCACCCAGGCAGATGGAGAAAGCGGTCAGGACAGACCCAGAGAAGGGGAGACTGGGCTTAGTTTGGGGAGATCAGAGGTTCCCTCAGCCCCTCAATCTTACCCATTTCCCAGAAGCCCATCATGGCCTCTCACCCACACAGAGAGATATCATCACCAGCAACCCCTACACCCTTTTCTTTTCATTTTCAAAAATATTTATTGAGGTTAAATGTAACTATATAATTTACCACCTTTACCATTTTTAAAAGTAAAATCTAGTGGTCATAAATACCTTTATATGCTGGGCGTGGTGGTTCACAGTTGTAATCTCGGCGCTTTGAGAGGCCAAGGAAGGTGGATCATTTAAGATCAGGAACTCGAGATCACCCTGGCCAACATGTGGGAAATTCATCTTTACTAAACAGACAAGAAAAATTAGCCGAGCATGCTGGCATGCACCTGTAGTCCTAGCTACTTGGGAGGCTGAGGCAGGAGAAGCACTTAAAGCCAGGAGGCCGAGGTTGCACTGAGCCGAGATCATGCCACTGCACTGCAGCCTGGGAGACAGAGAGAGACTCTGTTTCTAAATAAATAAATACATCTATATTCTTTTTTTTGTTACCCTCCACCCTTCCCTTCCTGGCCTCTGGTGTCCACCATTGTATTCTCCACCTTCATGAGATCCACCTTTTATCTCCTGCATGTGGGTGAGAAATGGGAATCTTTGTAATGACCTCCAGTTCCATCCATGTGGCTGCAAATGACAGGATGTTATTGTTTCTATGGATGAGTAGTCTCCACTGTGTGTGTGTACCACAGTTCTCTATCCATTCACCCACTGATAGGCAGGTAGGTTGACTCCACATCTTGGCTACTGTGAACAGTGCTGGAACAGTCATATGAGTGCAGATATCACTTCGATACACTGATGTCCTTTCCTTTGGATATAAACCCAGTAGTGAAATTGCTGGATACTATGAAAGTTCTCTTTTTTTTTTTTTTCTTTTTTGAGAAAGAGTTTCCCTCCTTAGTCCAAGCTGGAGTCTAAGTGGTGAGATCTTGGCTCATTGCAACCTGTGCCTCCTAGGTTCAAATGATTGTCCTGACTCAGCCTCCCTAGTAGCTGTGATTACAGGTGCATGCCACCATGCCTGGCTAATTTTTGTATTTTTTTAGCACAGACGGGATATCCCAATTTTGGGCAGGCTGCTCTCAAACTCCTGACCTCAAGTGAGGTGCCTGCCTCGGTTTCCCAAAGTGCTGAAATTACAGGCATAAGCCACTATGCCCAGCCTCCTTTTAGTTTTTTAAAGAATTTCCATACTTTTCTCCATAATAGTTGTACTAATTTACATTCCTACCAACAGGGTACCAGGGTTCTCCTTTCTCTACCATCTTGCCAGCATTTGTTTTGCCTGTCTTGCAGATAAAAGCCATTTTACTTTACTTTATTTTATTTATTTATTTATGTTGAGATGGAGTTTCACTCATAGTCGCCCAGGCTGGAGTGCAAGGGTGTGATCTCAGCTCACTGCAACCTCCGCCTCCCGCGTTCAACTGATTCTCCTGCCTCAGCCTCCAAAGTAGCTGGGATTACAGGCGTGTGCCACCACGCCTAGCTAATTTTTGTATGTTTAGTAGAGAGGGAGTTTCTCCATGATGGTCAGGCTGGTCTCCCGACCTCAGGTGATCCGCCCACCTCCGCTTCCTGAAGTGCCGGAATTACAGGCGTGAGCCACCGGCCTAAAAGGCATTTTAATGGGATGAGATGAAAACTCATCGCGATTGTAATTTACATTTCTCTGATGATGAGTGATGCCGAGTACTTTTTCATATACGTGATCGCCATTTCTATGTTTTGTTTGTGGAGAAATGTCTCCTCATGTCTTTTGCTCGTTTTTTAATTAAATTGTTTTATTGAGTTGTTTGAGCTTCTTATATTTCCAGTTATTAATCCCGTCTCAGATGAATAGTTTGCAAATATTTGCTCCTATTTTGTGGGTTGTCTCTTCACTTTCTTGGTTTATCTTTTGTGGTGCAGAAGTTGCTTGGTTTGATGTAATCCTAATGGTCTATTTTTTGCTTTGATTACTTGTGTTTTGAAGGTTTTAAACAAAATGTCTTTCGTCAGACAAATGTCTTCCCCATTATTTTCTTCTACATGTTTCATAGGTTCAGGCCTTAGACTCATGTTTTTAATCCATTTTCATTTGATTTTTGTTTATGGTGACAGGTATAGATGCAGTTTTATTCCTCTGCATGTAGATATCCAGTTTTCCCCACACCATTTATTGAAAAGACTGTCCTTTCCTGATTGTGAGTTCTTGGCACCTTTGTCAAAGTCCATTAAATGGGCTGGGTATGGTGGCTCACACCTGCAATTCCAGCACTTTGGGAGGCCGAGGCGGGTGGATCACCTGAAGCCAGGAGTTCAAGACCAGGCTGGCCAACAGAGTGAAACCTCGTCTCTACTAAAAATACAAAAATTAGCTGAGCATGGTGACCAGTGCCTGTAATACCACTACTCGGGTGTTTGAGGCAAGAGAATTGCTTGAATCCAGGAAGTGGAGGTTGCATTGAGCTGAGATTGCACCTCTGCACTCCAGCCTGCATGACAGAGCAAGATTCCATCACACACACACAAAAAAAAGCCATTGGGTGTAAATGCATGGATCATATCCGTGTTCTCCATTCTGTTCCATTTTTTATGTGCCTTTCTTTATGCCAATGTCATGCTGTTTTGCTTACTACAGCTCTGTAACATATTTCTAAGTCAGGTAGTGTGATGCTCCTGTTTTCTCTTTATACCTTCAAGTCTCAAGACAGTGGGCATCGCACACAAAAATTATGGAGAAGAGGATCCCAAGACTCCCAGGGTCCAACATTAGATAACAGAGTGTTGGCCATGAACCAACCTCAAAGATTTCCATTGAGTAGAGGACAAGCACCCTCATTTCCTCACATCTCTCCTGTCCCATGTTCTAGGAAACCCTTCAAGTAGTTGGCCTTCACCCACAGAACCAAGCTCCAAATCTGGTGAGTAAAGGACCCCTCTTATCTCTGCTTTTGGAAACCTGGGGAGGTGGAAGCCTTGGATGCAAGCGTTGGCTCAAACCTCCCAGCTCTGTGAATGAGGGCCTGTCTTCCACCATCTCTGAACTCCAGACACTCCAACAGTGAAAGGGATCTAGGGCCACCAAAGGGCTCAGCGAAGTCTCTTAACCTTTAATGTCCTGCAGGTGAGACCTCCTACAAGCTAGAAGAATGATTGCCAATCTGACATCCTTCTCAGGAAAAATGCAGTGTTTTTTCTGCCTGCATTCCTAACTGGAGGATAAATTCCTGGGGACTTGAGAGAGGGAAGGGAAGGGAACATCTCATGAGGGTGGGTGTTTTAGAGAAGTTCCACTTGCCAAGGAATGAATTACTGTTGGTCATGAAGCAACCCTGGCTGACTCAGCAGAGCAAGAGCCTTGCCGTAACAGAGAACAGAGCTCATGCACGCACACTTCGACTCACTGACTCATTCAGCCACGGCCCCATGCTCAGGCTGTGCAGTTGGAATCCTTTCCTATTGTTGCCATAACAAATTTCCACAAGATTCGTGGGTGAAAATAAAGCGGCTTTTTAATTATCTTACAGTGCTGTAGCTCAAAGTATGAAGTGCATCTCACTGGGCTAAAAACAAGGTGACAGCAAGGCTGCCTTCCCTCTGAGGGTTCCAGGCAAGAATCTGCTTCTCACTTGTCCCAGCTTCTAAAGGCTCCCAGTTCCTTGGCTCCTGGTCCCCTTCCTCCTTCCTCAAAGCCCACAAAGACTGGTCACATCTCACATGGCATCACTCAGACCCTTCTTCCTTACCACACCTCTTTCTCTGAATGCTGCTCTCCCTTCTTCCTTATCTTTTGAAAACTTGGGGATTCTATTGGGTTCACCAAGATGAAAATCCATCATAATCTCCCGGAAATCATTCAGGATACCCTTGTTTTAAGTTCAGCTGACTAGCAACCGTAATTCCATCTGCAATCTTCATTCCTCCTTTCCATGTAAAATAACATATTCACAAGCTATGGAGGCCAGGACAGGGACATTTTGGGGTGGGACAGCATTCTCCTGCCTTCCACGAACGGTGAACAAGATGCATTTGGCCTCTGCTCTTGGGACACTGATATTGCAGATGGTTAAATGGGAGGGCAGAAAATGAATGCACAAGTGGACCAATAAATGAATGATCCATTGGGAAGCATCTGTGCATGAAATCTATTTGTTTGTTCGTTCATTTATTTATTGAGACAGAGTCTCCCTCTGTCTTCCAGGCTACAGTGCAGTGTCACGATCTTGGCTCACTGCAACCTGCGTCTCCTGGATCCAAGTGATTCTCCTGCCTCACCCTCTCGAGTAGCTGGGATTACAGGCAACTGCCACCATGCCCGGCTAACTCTTTTTGTATATTTTTTGTAGAGAGGATGTTTCACCATGTTGGCCAAGCTTGTCTGAAACTCCCAACCTCAAGTGATCCGACCATCTCAGCAACCCAAAGTACTGGGATTACAGGCGTGAGCCACTTTGCCCAGCCAGAATTCAAAATCAATAATAGATAATGCTGAGTGTATAATTTTGGGTGACAGAGAAGGTCTCACTAATCAGATATTTGTGACATTAATGAAAAACACGGATTGAACCCCTGAAAGATTGGCGGAAGGATTTTCCACACAGCTGTCAGCTGTGAAGGCACAAAGGTGAAAACAATCTGATGTTGAAGGAAGAGGCTCTGCCTCAAATGCTGGGAATGAAGTGGGGAGAATGACAAGACGACTGTAGAGAGACGGAGAGCACACTGGGTACACAGGAAACTAAGGAGCAACAAGGAGTGTGTGTTTGACACTCACAGCCATTGGATTCACCTCGGGGTAACCAGGAATCCCTACATGATTAATATGACTGACATGAAAATAAAGGAGGCCCAGGTGCGTAACTGGAATCTAGGAGACTGTGGAAAAGGCAATTGCCACCCCACTGGTGAAATGTGGTGCTGATTTAGACCCTAAGTGGATGAAGCAGATGGATATAAGCTATGCTTGGGAGGTAGAATCATTTGCAGGGAGGGCTTGCTGGGTTTGAGTTTCCTAGTTGTTTAATCCTTGCTAAATTAATTTCTTTCTGAGATTTATTCCTCCTACACATAAATCAATACCTGGCAAAGGAGTGACAGATATATGAGGGGTGGTGGAAATGAAGGGACCTATTATAGCATAGTATACAAGTCTGTGAACGGTGGCTCACTCCTGTAACCCAGCACTGCAGGAGGCTAAGGCCAGTGGATTCCAAGAAATCAGGAGTTCGAGACCAGCCTGGCCAACATGGTGAAACCCTATCTCTACATGGTGAAACCCTATCTCTCCTAAAAATACAAAAATTAGCCGAGCATGGTGGTGCATCCCTGTGATCCCAGCTCCTGCTCTGGAGGATGAAGCAGGAGAATGACTTCAACCCAGGAGGTGGAGGTTGCAGTGAGTGGAGATCGCATCACTGCACTCCAGCCTGGGTGACACAAGGAGACTCCGTCTCAAAAAATAAAAATAAGAAATGCATAAATATAATAAAACACACACGAACGACAAAGGCACCTGAATTCCCATCATCATTTTTCTATTTCTCTATAATTACTTCTTTGATTCTTTATCTTATCCATTAGACAATCAGCCTAAAACCTCTTCCGTATTTGGCTTTCTGTGAGCATGAGATCATATAGAAAATGTGAAAGCCCGCTGAATCCTCCAGCACAAATCCTGGAATAGAGAAAGTGCTCTGGTCATCACAAAAAAAACTTGCCCCCTCACCCAAATCCCCCACCTCACCCCTACTTCCAATCACCTGTGCAGATACAGATAGACCATGGGGAGGTAAATGCTAATACTCCTTGGAGTGAGTCCAGATCTTGGAATCAGAGATCAGTGCCAGCACTAGCTCCTGCTCCCCTTTCCTACTAATTCACAGGAGGACAGGTGGTATTGAAGCAATAGATAGTCGAGGGGGTGGTCCTTCCCCCAGCCTGTCAGGTAGAACAGCAGCCTAACATGTGTCTCCCGAGATCACAAAGAATAGCACATTTCACACGGGCTTCAACACTATTTTCTGGCTGTTTGACATAAGAGAATTCTACTTCGCATTTTTGATCTTGATTTCACTTTTGTTTCCTTTTCTTGGAGAATGCAAGTTGTTTAACTCAAGAATGCCGTGGATGTAGAAATCCTAAAGCACATTCGCTGTGTATCAATCCCAGTCCAGTCTTCCCAGAGAAGACTCTAAACACCTCCTGGACTGCACCTGGGCCTATGCCAATTCCTATCACTCACCGTCACTCCAGGGAGACAGAACACACAGAGAACACATTACACAGGCAGGTTCATTACTAACAGATAAGCAGCGAGTGACAACAGAAGCCTACATTTCAATGTGAGCCAGTTCCCCAAGGCTCAGAAAAGCTGCTCGAGACATGTGGAGTCACCCCATTTGCAGTGTAGCTGGGGGAAGCCAGAAAGCAGCCCAACCTGGGTTTTGTACCCTGGAGCCACAGGAAGCACTCAGCTAAAGCACTGCATCACGTCCTCCTCCAGGAAGAACAGGAAGACAGCCCAGGCTGTTCTGGGACTTTCCTCCTGATCTCAGGACGTTGCTGTCTTAGTCCATTTTTGTTGCTCTAAAGGAACACTTGAGCCTGGGTAACTTCTAAACAAAAGATTTTGGTTTGCCTTACAGTTCCGCAGGCTGTACTGGAAGCATGGCACCAGCATCTATTTCTTGTGACTGCCTCAGGCTGCTCCCACTCTGGCAGAAGGGAAGGAGGGTCTGTCTGTGCAGAGACCACAGAGATCACACGGCAAGAGAGGGAGCAAGGGAGAGGGGGAGTGATGGAGCTTCCAAGCTCTTATGAACAACCAGCTCTCCAGGAACTAATAGAGGGAGAACTTGCTAACCCCGTCTCCTTAAAACAGCATTGATCTGTTCATGATGTATCCACCCCCATGACTCAAACACCTCCCAAGAGGCCCACCCTCCCACACTGGGGGGTAAATTTCAATCTGAGGTTTGAAGGGGTCAAACATCTCAACTAAAGTAGTGGTATCCTCAGCACGTTCTATGGTTACTATGAGAGCTATAACTGAGAAAGCAGGAGGAAGCTGGGTCTCCCGCCATCTGGGTGCTTGTCCTAAAGAGACGCTGTATGTGGTTACCTGTGAATCAAGAAATGCAAGACAATTCATAAAGAGGAACTGCTATGATTAGCTTCTTATTGGTGTCTCCTCTTCTTCCAGGTAACCTCAGACACCTGCACATTCTGATTGGGACCTCAGTGGTCAAAATCCCTTTCACCATCCTCCTCTTCTTTCTCCTTCATCGCTGGTGCTCCAACAAAAAAAAGTAAGTCTCACGAAGCAGAGGCCAGAGAGCTCAGGGCCATGTGGGGAAGCAGGATGGGAGCACACGGGTGTGTGTTCCTCACCAGCAGGATGGTCCCTGGCCCAAGACAGGAGCCACAGAGGCAGGACTTTCTAGAGAGAGCACCAGATTCCCTTCCCCTGCCTTCAGCTCACAGACCATTGCCTGATTCTGAACTGTATCCTCACGTCCCCTGCAGCCACTCACATCCAGGAGAAGGTTCCATGACAGGCAGAAAGTGGGAGATAGAATCAATGGAATGGGACCTCAGAGCTATTCATGGGATGGGTCCTTGAACTCAGAGAGATAGAATGTCTGAGTCTGCTGTTGGCAACTGAGGGACCTCAGGCACCTATGGCCTCCCCCTGTTTGTTGGTATCTGCTTATGAAATGAGGACCCAGAAGTGCCCTCCGAGCTCTTTTGTTGACTTCCGTCTTCTACAGATGCTGCTGTAATGGACCAAGAGCCTGCAGGGAACAGAAGTGAACAGCGAGGTAGGTGCTCCTCGGCCCAGCCTCGTGGCTAGTGTTATTCCCAAAGAGTCCTGAAAAATGTGAGCACCCTCCCTCACTCAGCATTTCCCTCTCTCCAGGATTCTGATGAACAAGACCATCAGGAGGTGTCATACGCATAATTGGAACACTGTGTTTTCACACAGAGAAAAATCACTCGCCCTTCTCAGAGGCCCAAGACACCCCCAACAGATACCAGCATGTACATAGAACTTCCAAATGCTGAGCCCAGATCCAAAGTTGTCTTCTGTCCACGAGCACCACAGTCAGGCCTTGAGGGGATCTTCTAGGGAGACAACAGCCCTGTCTCAAAACTGGGTTGCCAGCTCCCATGTACCAGCAGCTGGAATCTGAAGGCATCAGTCTTCATCTTAGGGCATCGCTCTTCCTCACACCACAAATCTGAATGTGCCTCTCACTTGCTTACAAATGTCTAAGGTCCCCACTGCCTGCTGGAGAAAAAACACACTCCTTTGCTTAGCCCACAGTTCTCCATTTCACTTGACCCCTGCCCACCTCTCCAACCTAACTGGCTTACTTCCTAGTCTACTTGAGGCTGCAATCACACTGAGGAACTCACAATTCCACACATACAAGAGGCTCCGTCTTAACGCAGCACTTAGACACGTGCTGTTCCACCTTCCCTCATGCTGTTCCACCTCCCCTCAGACTAGCTTTCAGCCTTCTGTCAGCAGTAAAACTTATATACTTTTTAAAATAACTTCAATGTAGTTTTCCATCCTTCAAATAAACATGTCTGCCCCCATGGTTTCGGTAATGGGACTCTTTTCTTGCCTAAGGCTTCCGGTGTTATCAGTACCATGTCCATATAATCCCATCTGTTCCCCACTGAGTTCTCATCCCTGGACTCTGATCTTCTGGAAGCAGGGTGGAGCCTCATTTGTCTCTGGGACTCCAATTTCCATCCAAAGATGTAGCACATAGGAGGTTCCAAGGATCGCGAATCACATGAACAAGTGATACTCTTACTCTCTGCAGACCTGGAAAGCTGGCAGAGTCATTCCACAATGAAACATTTGTAGAGTCATAGGCCTTGTTAGTCTCATCTCCATGGGGACACATATCAACACATCTTCTTTCATAATATAAATATACGGTCACTCCTCCATATCTGCGGGGTTTACAGGTGTTTATTGAACCAAGTATAAATCAAAAATATTGAGAGAAAGTATCCACAGAGTTTCAAAAAGCATAACTATGTTAAATGGACACAAATGAAGCTGTGTGTAGGCTGTATCAGGAATTATAGGTAATCTAGAGATGATTTCATGTATACAGGAGGATGTGCATAGGTTATTTGCAAATGCTGTGCCATTTCATATAAGAGGCTTGAGCATCTACAGATTTTGGTATCTGAGTGGAGATCTCAAAACCAATCACCCACGAATAGTGAAGGATGACCGTATATGACTTTTATTTCTCAAATTTAAATATAAATCATAAAAAATGTACAACTAGATAAAAACTAAGAAGTGTTTTTATAGTGTCAGTTAGATTTATTTTTTACTAGGTGTAACCCATTGGTTTAATATTATTTATTGAGAAGACATTCTATGCCACCTTAAACCACACAGCAGCCTTTGTCAACTCTAAAGGGATTGTGTGTACATGGATGTATTTTAGACACTGTTTCTGCTAAGGGGCTCTCTGTGTCCACACTCTTGATGACGCTGCACTTTATGTAGCCTTATAGAACCCTTTAAATTTAGTAGCCAGAGCCCTCTAATTTGTTATTATAGGCTATTTGCTTTTTTTTTCTTGAGGCGGAGTCTTGCTCTGTCGCCCAGGCTGGACTGCAGTGACACAATCTCAGCTCACTGCAACCTCCACCTCCCAGGTTCAAGCGATTCTCGTGCCTCAGCCTCTTGAGCAGCTGGCGTTACAGGTGCCTGCCACCAGGCACGGCTAATTTTTGGATTTTTAGCAGAGACACGGTTTCACTATGTTGACCAGGCTGCTCTCAAACTCCTTATCTCAGTTGATCCGCCCACCTCGGCTTCCCAACGTGCTGGGGAAAACTTGATTTTCTATAGCATTATGTTACTGGATATTTCTGTAAAATTTAAAACGAGGGAGGGAGAGAGACAGAGAGAGATCAAACTCCAGAGTTGGGACTCTGGAATCTTGGGTCATGAGACAAATTTTAGATTAAACTACAAAACTCCAGAATTTACAGGTGTGGTTTTTGCTGATAAAGTACAATTCTAAGATTGTAAATAATTGCATAATCCTTCCCTGGGAATTTAAATCATTTTAGCTGGTTCTGCTGTAATACTAGAAATACAAGCATGAAAAATTCTAATGGTTTATTAGTCACAATGACTCCGAAAACATTAATAATACCTATTAGATACTTTGCATATTACACAGGAAGAAGAGTTTGAATCTCAGATAAAAACAATAAAAATACATGAAAAGTCTTTCACGTTAGCACAGATTTTAGGCATCTTGTGTTCGGGAGGTTGGATCTGAGACGTGTTGTGAGTTGGTCATAGTGAAGGACGCGAGGTGCCAATTCTAGTGAGAACAATTTCCAGGAAGCCGTGTTCCGCTCTTGAGCAAGCACCCACTGGGCCTCATGCAAGGTAGAAAGAGCCTGCGTACGTCACCCTCCCGTGATGTGGTCAACATGTAAACTGCATGGGCAGGGCGCCAAATAACATCCTGTGCGCTGCTGAGCTGAGCTGGGGCGCGGCCGCCTGTCTGCACCGGCAGCACCATGTCGCTCATGGTCATCAGCATGGCGTGTGTTGGTGAGTCCTGGAAAGGAATAGAGGGAGGGAGTGCGGGGATGGAGATCTGGGCCCAGAGGTGGAGATATAGGCCTGGAGGTGGAGTTATGGGCCTGGAGTGGAGATCTGGGCCTGGAGTGGATATATGGGCCTGGAGATGGAGTGATGGGCCTAGAAGTGGAGATCTGGGTCTGGAGTGGAGATATGGGCCTGGAGGTGGAGATATGGGCCTGGAGTGGAGATCTGGGCCTGGAGTGGAGATAGGAACCCGGAGGGGAGATAGGAGCCTGGAGTGAAGATATTGGCCTGGGATGGAGATATGGGCCTGGAGTGGAGACATGGGCCTGGAGGTGGAGATATGGGCCTGGAGGTGGAGATATGGGCCTAGAGGTGGATATCTGGGCCTGGAGTGGACATATGGGCCTAGGATGGAGATATGGGCTTGGGGTGGAGATATGGGCCTGGATTGGAGATATGGGTCTAGGGTGGAAATATTGGCCTGGAGTGGAGATATGGGCCTGGAGTGGAGATATGGGCTTGGGGTGGGGATAGGGGCCTGGGGTGCGGATATGGGCCTGGAGGCTGGGTCTCTACACAGCCGACAGCCCTGTTCTTGGGTGCAAGCAGGCACTGAGGGTGAGTTTCCCTTCAGCCCAGCAAGGGCCTGGCTACCAAGACTCACAGCCCAGTGGGGGCAGCAAGGGAGTCCTGGTTTGCCTGCAGATGGATGGTCCATCATGATCTTTCTTTCCAGGGTTCTTCTTGCTGCAGGGGGCCTGGACACATGAGGGTGAGTCCTTCTCCAAACCTTCGGGTGTCATCTCCCCACATAAGAGGATTTTCCTGAAACAGGAGGGAAGCCCGGTGGGGGATTTTCTTATAAACAAGGATGAGGAGACCCTGGGGTGCTCAGCCCACAGTTCCGACCTTGCCCTCCCCAGCCTTCCTTTCCCTTGGCTGAGTCAGGTTCTGTGGGAACCCGGGAGGGTAGACTGGGGTCCTCCAAGCTGGGCTGTGCGGCTGGGATGTGGTGTCACTGGCAGAGGAAGGGAGCAAAGCAGTGCTAGGAACAGCAGGCCTCTGAGGACAAAGGTGTAACTCACACCCTCCAGCGTTTCCATGACGGTAGGGGCTGCAGTGTGGCTGCTGTCATTCTACCTCAGAGGTGGGGGAACCCCAGCCAGGGCCCTGACCTTCCAAATCCTCTGTTGGGGGCTCAGTTGTGTATTGTGGTTCACACATTGGCTGATATTCCATTCACAAAGAACATGCCCTCGACCCCATGTCTATTTGTGTTGTTTTATGTGAGTAATCTTGCAGTATTAAAATCTAGTAGGAGTCCCTTACTCAGCACTTGCTCAAAGTTCTCAGCTGACACTTTTGTTGTAGAGAGACGCCAAGTCTATGCGGGGTGGGTCCTTCCCGTACCCATGGGCACCCAAGTGTGGTAGGAGCCTTAGAAACGAGGAAAGTGGGGAGAATCTTCTGAGCACTGGCAGGGAGGGGCGGCTCCACATCCTCCTTTCTAAGGTGGCGCCTCCTTCTCCCCCAGGTGGACAGGACAAGCCCTTGCTGTCTGCCTGGCCCAGCGCTGTGGTGCCTCGAGGAGGACATGTGACTCTTCTGTGTCGCTCTCGTCTTGGGTTTACCATCTTCAGTCTGTACAAAGAAGATGGGGTGCCTGTCCCTGAGCTCTACAACAAAATATTCTGGAAGAGCATCCTCATGGGCCCTGTGACCCCTGCACACGCAGGGACCTACAGATGTCGGGGTTCACACCCGCGCTCCCCCATTGAGTGGTCGGCACCCAGCAACCCCCTGGTGATCGTGGTCACAGGTCAGAGGACTCATGTCTGGGCTTCTCCTTCTCCCACTTCCTGAATCCCAGAGCATCTGGTGGGGGTGTCCACCAGGGTCCAATCATCCAGGCCCTGACTGTATTTGGTGTCAATGGGGATTGAATACAGGGGAATGGGTGCTGTGGTGGAAAGAGTAACTGTCGGCAGCATGGCTATATTGTAATCCTTGGAGCCTGTGACTATTTATGTTATAGGACATGGGACTGAAGGGGAAGATGGAGTTCAGGTTGTTGATGAGTTGACCTTGAGATGGGGAGACGACCTGGACTCTCCCACTGGGCTCAGTGTAATCACAAGGGTCC
This sequence comes from Homo sapiens, assembly GCF_000001405.40. Classification (NCBI taxonomy): domain Eukaryota; kingdom Metazoa; phylum Chordata; class Mammalia; order Primates; family Hominidae; genus Homo; species Homo sapiens. The sequence goes on from NT_187675.1 coordinate 178,324, forward strand.
ACATGAGAGGAGGAGGAAGAGGAGAGTGGGGATTAGAGCAGCGTAGTGGGAGGGAGAGTCCACCAGCCACTGCGGGCTTTGAAAGTGGAGGAAGGCCAGAAGCCACGGAATGCAGGTGGCCTTTAGGGGCTGGAGAAGTCAATGGAACTGATTCTCCCGAGTCTCCAGAGGGAATGCAGCCCTGCAGATGCCTTGATTGTAGCCCAGGAAGAACAGGGTCTGATTTCTGTCAACAGAAGTGTTCTCTCCCGCCGCCGTGTTTGTGATAATTTTCTGCAGCAACAACAGGAAACAACACAGGAATCCAGGTCAAGGACAAGTTAAAAAACCAAACAAGAGGGTTGGCTACCCTAAGGTCAGCAAGGGTGCACTGCTGATGCCACCACCAGGCTGGAGCTGCATAGGGAGGGATCCACAGGGAGAGTCGGGGGTGGAGGGTGAGAGAGAGAGAGAGCATTAGGTCATAGAGCAGGGGAGTGAGTTCTCAGCTCAGGTGTGAGGGGAGCTGTGACAAGGAAGAACCTCCCTGAGGAAACTGCCTCTTCTTCCAGGTCTATTTGGGAAACCTTCACTCTCAGCCCAGCCGGGCCCCACGGTTCGCACAGGAGAGAACGTGACCTTGTCCTGCAGCTCCAGGAGCTCATTTGACATGTACCATCTATCCAGGGAGGGGAGGGCCCATGAACCTAGGCTCCCTGCAGTGCCCAGCGTCGATGGAACATTCCAGGCTGACTTTCCTCTGGGCCCTGCCACCCACGGAGGGACCTACACATGCTTCAGCTCTCTCCATGACTCACCCTATGAGTGGTCAGACCCGAGTGACCCACTGCTTGTTTCTGTCACAGGTGAGGAAAGCCCATGCCTGTCCCATGTCCTGTGATCCTAGAGCCTTAGCTGAGGAGCTTCCTGCTGATGATGGAGAGAAGCATGGACAGATGCAGAGAGAACACGCAGCATGGTGTGAGGGAGGGATCAGGGCACAGGATGGCAGACAGGGCACCTCCAAACCCTCCTGCACGGCCTGCATGGAGGCCCGCGGCCAGGGCTCCAGGCACCCAGGCAGATGGAGAAAGTGGTCAGGACAGACCCAGAGGAGGGAGACTCGGCTCAGTTTGGGGAGATCAGAGGCTCCTCAGACCCTCAACCTTACCCATTTCCCAGAAGCCCATACTGGCCTCTCACCCACACAGAGATGTCATCACCAGCAACCCCTACACCCTTTTCTTTCCGTTTGAAAAAACATTTATTGAGGTTAAATGTAACTATATAATTTGCCACCTTTACCATTTTTAAAAGTAAAATCTAGTGGTCATAAATTCCTTTATATGCAGGGTGCAGTGGCTCACAGTTATAATCTCGGTGCTTTGAGAGGCCAAGGAAGGTGGATCATTTAAGATCAGAGGCTCGAGATCAGCCTGGCCAACATGAGGGAAATTCATCTTTACTAAACAGACAAGAAAAATTGGCTGGGCATGCTGGCATGCACCTGTATTCCTAGCTACATGGGAGGCTGAGGCAGGAGAAGTACGTAAGCCCAGGAGGCAGAGGTTGCACTGAGCTGAGATCAGGCCACTGCACTGCAGCCTGGGAGACAGAGAGAGATTCTGTCTCTAAATAAATAAATACATCTATATTCTTTTTTATTGTTGTTGTTACACTCCACCCTTTACTTCCTGCCCTCTGGTAGCCACCATTCTACTCTCTACCTTCATGAGATCCACCTTTTAGCTCCTGTATATGGGTGAGAAATGGGAATCTTTGCAATGACCTCCAGTTCCATCCATGTGGCTGCAAATGTCAGGATGTTATTCTTTCTACGGATGAGTACTCTCCACTGTGTGTGTGTACTACATTCTCTCTATCCATTCACCCACTGACGGGCAGGTAAGTTGACTCCACATCTTGGCTACTGTGAACAGTGCTGCACCAATCGTATGAGTGCAGATATCACTTCGATACACTGATGTCCTTCCCTTTGGGTTTACACCCAGTAGTGGAATTGCTAGATCCTATCAACAGGGTACCAGGGTTCTCCTTTCTCTACCACCTTGCCAGCATTCATTTTGTCTGTGTTTCAGATAAAAGCCACTTTAATGGGATGAGATGATAGCTCACTGTGATTTCAATTGGCATGATTAGTGATACTGAGCACTTTTTCATGTACATGTTCGCCATTTGTACGTTTTGTTTGTTGAGAAATGTCTGTTCAGGTCTTTTACTAATTGTTAAATTAAATTCATTGTTTTATACCGTTGCTTGAGTTTTATGTATATTCTAGTTATTAATCCCCTCTCAGATGCATACTTCACAAATATTTTCTCCCAATTTGTCTCTTCTTCACTTTGTTGGTTGCTTCCTTTGCGGTGCAGAAGCTGCTTACTTTGATGTAATCCCGAAGGTCTATTATTTTGTTTTGATTTCTTGTGTTTTTGAGATTTCAAATAAAATGTCTTTCCTCAGACAAATGTCCTGGAGCATTTCCCCACTCTTTCCTTTTAGACGCTTAATGGTTTCAGGCCTTAAGTGTTTCTTCCATTTTCATTTGATTTCTGTGTATGGTGAGAGGTAGAGGTGCAGTTTCATCAACTGCATGTAGATACCAGTTTTCCCTGCTCCATTTATTGAAAAGACCGTCGTTTCCTGATTGCAGGTTCTTGGCACCTACAATCGTCAAAGTCCATTGGATGTGAATGCATGAATTATATCTGTGTTCTTCATTCTGCTCCATTGCTCTAAGGGCCTTTATGCCAATGTCATGCTGTTGTGCTTACTACAGCTTTGTAACATATTTTTAAGTCAGGGAGTGTGAGGCCTCCAGCACCTGTTTTGTCTTTATACCTCGAAATCTCAGGACACTGGGCATCATTTAACAATGATGATGGAGAAGGGGACGCCAGGACTCCTAGGGCCCAACATTAGATAACAGAGTGTTGGCCATGAACCAACCTCAAAGATTTCCTTTGAGTAGAAGACAGGCATCCTCATTTCCTCACCTCTCTCCTGTCCTGTGTTCTAGGAAACTCTTCAAGTAGTTCATCTTCACCCACTGAACCAAGCTCCAAAACTGGTGAGTAAAGATCCCTCTTATCTCTGCTTTTGGAAACCTGGGGAGGTTGGTATCTTGGATTCAAGCATTGGCTCAGCACCTCCCAGCTCTGTGATTGTGGGCCTGTCTTCTAACATCTCTGACCCCCAGACACTACAACAGCGAAGGGTATCTGAGGACAGCAAAGGGCTCAGTGAAGTCTCTTCATTTCAAATTTCTGCAGCTGAGACCTCCTCCAAGCTAGACGGACGAGTACAAATCTGACATCCTTCTCAGGGATAATGTGGTGTTTTTTCTGCCTGCATTCCAAATTGGAGGATAAATTCGAGGGGACTTGAGAGAGGGAGGGGAAGGGAACATCTGATGAGGGAAAGGTGATTTAGAGAAGTTCCACTTGCCAAGGAATGAGCCCCTGTTGGTCATGATGCGACCTTGGCTGAGTCAGCAGAGCAAGAGCCTTGCAGTAAGAAGGAACGTAGTTCATCCACGAATATGACACTTCCACTCACTCACTTATTCAGCCACTGCCCTGTGCTCTGACTGTACAGTGTGGAACCCTTTCCTGCTGTTGCCATAATAAATCTCCACAAACTTCATGGATGACAACAACACAGCTTTTAAAATTATCTTACAGTGTTATAGCTCAGAAATATGAAATGCATTTCACTGGGCTAAAATCAAGGTGACTGCGAGGCTGCCTTTTCTCTGAAGGTTCCAGGCGAGAATCGGCTTTTCACATTTCCCAGCTCCCAGAGGTTCCCACGTTCCTTGGCATCTGGTCCCCATCCTCCTTCCTCGAAGTCCACAAAAGCTCGTCACATCTCTCACGTGGCATCACTCAGATCCCTCTTCCTTACCTCACCTCTTTCTCTAAGTGTTGCTCTGACTTTTTCTTCCTCTTTTAAAGACTTTGGGATTCTATTGAGTTTACCAAGATAATCCATCACAATCTCCCTAAAATCACCCAAGATAACCTCTTTTTAAGTTCAGCTGATTAGCAACCATAATTCCATCTGCAATCTTTATTCCTCCTTTCATGTAAAATAACATATTCACAAGCTATGGAGGCTAGGACAGGGACATTTTGGGGGTGGGCCAGCATTCTCCTGCCTTCCACAAATGGTAAACACGATGCATTTGGCCTCTGCTCTTAGGACACTGACATTGCAGATGGGCAAATGGGAGGGCAGAATATGAATGCACAAGTGGACCAGTAATGATTGATCCATTGGGAAGCATCCGTGCATGAAATCTATTTACCTATTTATTTATCTATTTATCTATTTATGTATTTATTTATTTGCGGCGAAGTCATTCTCTGTCCCCGGGCTGGAGTGCAGTGGCATGACCTCAGCTCACCACAACCTCCGCCTCCCGGGTTCAGGCGATTCTCCTGCCTCAGCCTCCTGACTAGTTGTGATTCCAGTCCCCTCCACCACACCCAGCTAATTTTCTTTTATATTTTTTAGTAGAGATGGAGTTTCACCATGTTGCGCAGATTGTCTCCAACTCCCAACCTCAAGTGATCCGACCGTCTCAGCATCCCAAAATGCTGGGACTCAAGGCGTGAGCCACTGCGCCCAGCCGAAATTTAAAATAAATAATAAAGAATTCTAAGTGTATAATTTCAGGAGACAGAGAAAGTCTCACTAATCAGATAATATTTGTGACCATAATGAAAAAAAAAAGTAGATTCAACCCCTGGAAGATGGGCGGAAGGATTTTCCACACACAGCTGTCAGCCGTGAAGGCACAAATGTGAAAACAATCTGATGTGGAAGGAAGAGGCTCTGCATTCAAATGCTGGGAATGACGTGGGGAGAATGACAAGATGACTGTAGGGAGACGGAGAGCACACTGGGTACACAGGAAACTAAGGAGCAACAAGGAGCGTGTGTTTGACACTCACAGCCATTGGATTCACCTCGGGGTAACCAGGAATCCCTACATGATTAATATGACTGACATGAAAATAAGGGACGCCCAAGTGCGTAACTGGAATCTAGGAGACCGTGGAAAAGGCAATTCCCGCCCCACTGGTGAAATGTGGTGCTGATTTAGACACTAAATGAATGAAGTAGATGGGTATAAGATATGTCTGTGAGGTAGAATCATTTGTAGGGAGGTCTTGCTGGATTTGATAATGCCTACTTATTTAATTTTGAATATATTAATTTCTTTCTGAGATTTATTTTTCCTACATGTAAATCAATATCTGGCAGAGGAGTGATAGATAGATGAGGGGTGGTGCAAATGAAGGGACTTATTATAGCATAATATACAAGTCTGTGAATGGGAGCTTACGCCTGTAACCCAACACTTTGGGAGGCCAAGGCGTTTGGATCACTTGAGGTCAGGAGTTTGAGACCAGCCTGGCCAACATGGAGAAACCCCATGCTCTTTTTAGCAACCAGTCCTAGGGACCTCATGGAGAACTTGCCAACCACGTCTCATGGGGACAGCATTAATGTATTCATGATGGATCCACCCCCATAACTGGAACGTCTCTCAATAGGCCCAGCCTCCCACACTGCGAGATAAGTGTCAACGTGAGGTTTGGCGGGGTCAAACATTCAAACTATAGCAGTGGTATCCCCAGCATGTTCTCTGATTATTTTGAGAACTATAACTGAGAAAGCAGGAGAAAGCTGGGTATCCTGCCATCGGGGAACTTGTCCTAAACAGATGTTGTATGTGCTTAGCTGGCAACCAAGAAATGAGAGACAATCCATAAAGAGGAACTGCTATAATTAGCTTCTTATTGGATTCCCACCTTCCCCCAGGTATCCGCAGACACCTGCACATTCTGATTGGGACCTCAGTGGCTATCATCCTCTTCATCATCCTCTTCTTCTTTCTCCTTCATTGCTGCTGCTCCAACAAAAAGAGTAAGTCTCACGAAGCAGAGGTCAGAGAGCTCAGGACCATGTGGGGAAGCAGGATGGGAGCACACTGGTGTGTGTTCCTGACTGGCAGGATGGTCCCTGGACCAAGGCAGGAGCCACAGAGGCAGGGCTTTCTAGAGAGAGCACCAGACACCCTGCCCCTGCCTTCAGCTCACAGACCATTGCCTGATTCTGAACTGTATCCTCACGTCCCCTGCAGCCACTGACATCCAGGAGAAGGTTCCATGACAGGCAGAAAGGGGAGACAGAATCACTGGGATGGGAACTCAGAGCTATTCATGGGATGGGTCCTTGAGCTCAGAGAGATAGAATGTCTGGGTCTGGCTGATGACAGCTGAGGGACCTCAGGCACCTACGGCCTCCCGCTGTGTGTTGGTGTCTGCTCATGAAATGAGGACCCAAAAGTGCCCTTCCAGCTGTTTTGATGACTTCTATCTCCTACAGATGCTGCTGTAATGGACCAAGAGCCTGCCGGGGACAGAACAGTGAACAGGGAGGTAGGTTCTCCTCAGCCCAGCCTCATGGATTGAGTCTCATTCCCTAATAGTCTTGAAGAATGTGAGCACCCTCCCTCACTCAGCATTTCCCTCTCTCCAGGACTCTGATGATCAAGACCCTCAGGAGGTGACATATGCACAGTTGGATCACTGCGTTTTCACACAGACAAAAATCACTTCCCCTTCTCAGAGGCCCAAGACACCTCCAACAGATACCACCATGTACATGGAACTTCCAAATGCTAAGCCAAGATCATTGTCTCCTGCCCATAAGCACCACAGTCAGGCCTTGAGGGGATCTTCTAGGGAGACAACAGCCCTGTCTCAAAACCGGGTTGCTAGCTCCCATGTACCAGCAGCTGGAATCTGAAGGCATCAGTCTTCATCTTAGGGGATCGCTCTTCCTCACACCACAAATCTGAACATGCCTCTCTCTTGCTTACAAATGTCTAAGGTCCCCACTGCCTGCTGGAGAGAAGACACACACCTTTGCTTAGCCCACAATTCTCTATTTCACTTGACCCCTGCCCACCTCTCCAACTGAACTGGCTTACTTCCTAGTCTACTTGAGGCTGCAATCACACTGAGGAACTCACAATTCCAGACATACAAGAGGCTCCCTCTTAACATGGCACTGAGACACGTGCTGTTCCACCTTCCCTCATGCTGTTTCACCTTTCCTCAGACTATTTTCCAGCCTTCTGTCAGTCAGCAGTGAAACTTATAAAATTTTTTGTGATTTCAATGTAGCTGTCTCCTTTTCAAATAAACATGTCTGCCCTCATTGCTTTAGGTAATGTGACACTATTCGCTGAAAGAAACCGCTGTTATCATTACCATGTCCACATAACCCCATCTGTTATCCACTGGGTTCTCTCCCCTGGACTCTGAGCTTCTGGAAGCAGGGTGGAGCCTCATTTGTCTCTGGGACTCCAATTTCCATCCAAAGATGCAGCACATAGGAGGTTCCAAGGATCATGAATCACATGAACAAGTGATATTCTTACTCTCTGCAGACCTGGAAAGCTGGCAGAGTCATTCCACGATGAAACATTTGTAGAGTCATAGGCCTTGTTAGTCTCATCTCCATGGGGACACATATCAACACATCATCTTTCATGCTATATATATATATACAGTCGCTCCTCCGTATCTGTGGGGTTTACAGGTGTTTATTGAACCAACTATAAATAAAAAATATTCAGAGAAGAAAATCCACAAACTTTCAAAAAGCAAAACTATGTTGAAGGGACACAAATGAAGCAGTGTGTAGGCCATATCAGGAATTATAAGTAATCTAGAGATGATTTCATGTACACAGGAGGATGTGCATGGGTTATATGCAAATGCTGTGCCATTTCATGTAAGAGGCTTGAGCATCTGCAGATTTTGGTATCTGAGTGGAGATCCTGAAACCAATCACCCAGGAATAGTGAAGGATGACCGTATAAAACTGTTATTTCTCAATTTTAAATATAAATCATAAAAAAATTATAAACTAGATAAAAACAAGAAGTGTTTTTATAGTGTGAGAATAAGTTTAGATTTATTTTTTCCTACGTGTAACCCTTTGGTTTAATATTATTTATTGAGAAGACATTCTATGCCACCTTAAACCACAGGGCAGCCTTTGTCAACTCTAAAGGGACTGTGTGTACACGGATGTATTTTAGACACTGTTTCTGCTAAGGGGCTCTCTGTGTCCACACTCTTGAGGATGCTGCACTTCATGTAGCCTTATAGAACCCTTTAAATTTAGTAGCCAGAGCCCTCTAATTTGTTATTATAGGCTACTTGCTATTTTTTTTTTCTTAAGGCGGAATCTTGCTCTGTCACCCAGGCTGGACTGTAGTAGTGCAATCTCAGCTCACTGCAAACTCCGCCTCCCAGGTTCAAGCGATTCTCGTGCCTCAGCCTCTTGAGTAGCTGGCATTACAGGTGTCTGCCACCAGGCACGGCTAATTTTTGAATGTTTAGCAGAGACACGGTTTCACTATGTTGGCCAGGCTGCTCTCAAACTCCTCATCTCAGTTGATTCGCCCACCGCGGCTTCCCAACATGCTGGGGGAAACTTGATTTTCTATAGCATTATGTTACTGGATATTTCTGTAAAATTTAAAATGAGGGAGGGACAGAGACAGAGAGAGAGCAAACTCCAGAGTTGGGACTCTGGAATCTTGGGTCATGAGACAAATTATAGATAAAACTATAAAAATCCAGAATTTACATGTGTGGTTTTTGCTGATAAAGTACAATTCGAAGATTGTAAATAATTGCATAATCCTTCCCTGGGAATTTAAATCATTTTAACTGGTTCTGCTGTAATACTAGAAATACAAGCATGAAAAATTCTAATGGTTTATTAGTCACAATGACTCTGAAAACATTAATAATACCTATTAGATATTTTGCATATTACACATGAAGAAGAGTTTGAATCTCAGATAAAAACAATAAAAATACATGAAAAGTTTTTCACGTTAGCACAGATTTTAGGCATCCTGTGTTCCGGAGGTTGGATCTGAGACGTGTTTTGAGTTGGTCATAGTGAAGGACACGAGGTGTCAATTCTAGTGAGAACAATTTCCAGGAAGCCGTGTTCTGCTCTTGAGCGAGCACCCACTGGGCCTCATGAAAGGTAGAAAGAGCCTGCGTACGTCACCCTCCCATGATGTGGTCAACATGTAAACTGCATGGGCAGGGAGCCAAATAACATCCTGTGCGCTGCTGAGCTGAGCTAGGGGTGCGGCCGCCTGTCTGCTCCGGCACCACCATGTCGCTCATGGTCATCAGCATGGCATGTGTTGGTGAGTCCTGGAAGGGAATAGAGGGAGGGAGCGCGGGGATGGAGATCTGGGCCCAGAGGTGGAGATATAGGCCTGGAGGTGGAGTTATGGGCCTGGAGTGGAGATATGGGCCTGGAGGTGGAGATATGGACCTGGAGTGGAGATATGAGCCTGGAGTGGAGATATGGGCCTAGAGTGGAGATATGGGCCTGGAGGTGGAGATCTGGGCCTGGAGTGGAGATCTGGGCCTGGATTGGAGATATGGGCCTGGAGTGGAGATATGAGCCTGGAGTGGAGATATGGCCCTGGAGTGGAGATAGGGGCCTGGAGTGCAGATATGGGCCTGGAGTGGAGATGTGGGTCTGGAGTGCAGATATGGGCCTGGAGGTGGACATAAGGGCCTGGAGTGGAGATATGGGCCTAGAGTGGAGATATGAGCCTGGAGATGGAGATATGGGCCTGGAGTGGAGATATGGGCCTGGAGGTTGGAGATATGGGCCTGGAGTGGAGATATGGGCCTGGAGCGGAGATATGGGCGTGGGGTGGAGATATGGGCCTTGAGTGGAGATATGGGACTGAAGTGGAGATATGGGTGTGGGGTGGAGATATGGGACTGGAGTGCAGATATGGGCATGGGGTGGAGATATGGGACTGGAGTGGAGATATGGGCGTGGAGTGGAGATATGGGACTGGAGTGGAGATATGGGCGTGGGGTGGAGATATGGGCCTGGAGTGGAGATATGGGCGTGTGGTGAAGATATGGGCCTGGAGTGGAGATATGGGCCTGGAATGGAGATATGGGCGTGGGGTGGAGATATGGGACTGGAGTGGAGATATGGGCCTGTTGTGGAGATATGGGCTTGGAGTGGAGATATGATCCTGGAATGTAGTTATGGGCCTGGAGGTGGAGATCTGGGCCCGGGGTGGAGATATGGGCCTGGAGTGGAGATATGGGCCTGGAGAGGAGATATGGGCCTGGAGTGGAGATATGGGCCTGGACTGGAGTTATGGGCCTGGGGTGGAGATCTGAGCCTGGATTGCAGATGTGGGCCCAGATTGGCTATATGGGCCTAGGGTGGGAATATCAGCCTGGAGTGGAGATATGTGCCTGGAGTGGAGATATGGGCTTGGGGTGGGGATATGGGCCTGGAGGCTGGGTCTCTGCACAGCCGAGAGCCCTGTTCTTGGGTGCAGGTAGGCACTGAGGGTGAGTTTCCCTTCGGCCCAGGAAGGGCCTGGCTACCAAGACTCACAGCCTAGTGGGGATAGCAAGGGAGGCCTGGTTTGCCTGCAGATGGATGGTCCATCATGGTCTTTCTTTCCAGGGTTCTTCTGGCTGCAGGGGGCCTGGCCACATGAGGGTAAGTCCTTCTCCAAACCTTAAGGTGTCATCTCCCCACATAAGAGGATTTTCCTGAAACGGGAGGGAAGTCCTGTCGGGGAGTCTCTCTTAAACTAGAAAGAGGGGACCCTGGGGTGCTTGGCCCACAGTTCCGACCTCGCCTCCCCAGCCTTTCATTTCCTTGGCAGAGTCAAGTTCTGTGGGGACCAGGGTTACACTAGGGTGCTCAAAGCTGGGTTGTGTGGTGGGGAAGTGGTAGGAACAGCAGATCCTCTGAGGACAAAGGTGTTACTCACACACTTCAGCGTTTCCATGATGGTAGGGGCTGCAGTGTGGCTGCTCTCATTCTACCAGAAGAGGTGGGAAACCACAGCCATGGCCCTGACATTCCAAATCCTCTGATGGGGGCTCAGTTGTTTATTTTCATTCAGGCATCTGCTGATATTCCATTCTCAAAGGACATGCCCTCCACCCCATGTCTACCCTGTGTTGTTTTATGTGAGTAATCTTACAGTATTAAAATCTAGTAGGAGTCTCTTACTCAGCACTTGCTCAAAGTTCTCAGCTGACATTTTTGTTGTAGGGAGACACCTTGTCTTTGTGGGATGAGTCCTTCCTTTAGCCCTAGGCACCAAGGTGTGATAGCAGCCATAGAAATGTGGAAAGTGGGGAGAATCTTCTGAGCACAGGGAGGGAGGGGCGGCTGCACATCCTCCTCTCTAAGGTGGCGCCTCCTTCTCCCCAAGGTGGTCAGGACAAGCCCTTGCTTTCTACCTGGCCCAGCCTTGTGGTGCCTCCAGAACATGTGACTCTTCGGTGTCACTCTAATCTTGGGTTTAACAACTTCAGTCTGTACAAGGATGATGGGGTGCCTGTCCCTGAACACTACAACAGAATATTCTGGAAAAGCCTTTTCATGGGCCCTGTGACCCCGTCACACACAGGGACCTATAGATGCCGGGGTTCACACCCACACTCCCCCAGTGGGTGGTCGGCACCCAGCAACCCCCTGCTGATCATGGTCACAGGTCAGAGGGCTCCTGTCTGGGATTCTCCTTGTCCCACCTCCTGAATCCCAGAGCTTCCGGTAGGCATGTCCTTGAGGGTCCCTTCACGCAGGCCCTGACTGTATTTGGGGTAAAGGGGGATTGAATACAGGGAAATGGGTACTGTGGTGAGAAGAATAATTGTCCCCAGTGATGACTACATTCTAATCCCTGGAGTCTGTGACTATTTATGTTATAGGGGAAGGGACTGAAGGGGAAGATGGAGCTCAGGTTGTTGATGAGTTGACCTTGAGATGGGAGAAGGCCTGGACTGTCCCCCTGGGCTCAGTGTAGTCACAAGGGTCCACATGAAAGGAGGAGGAAGAGGAGAGTGGGGATTAGAGCAGCATAATGGGAGTCTCCATCAGCTTTGAAGGTGGAGGAAGGCCAGGAGCCATGAATGCAGGTGGCCTATAGAGGCTGGAAAAGTCAAGGAACTGATTCTCCTGAGTCTCCAGAGGGAACGAAGCCCTGCAGGTGCCTTGATTTTAGCCCAGGAAAAACAGGGCCCGACTTCTGCCTCCAAAAATGGAAGGGGTCAGTGTGCTCTCTCCTGCTGCCATGCTGCTGATAATTTTCTACAGCAGCAACAGGAAACCAACACCGGAACCCAGCTCGAGGAAAAGTTAAGAAAGGACACAAGGATAGCCGGGCGTGGTGGCAGGTGCATGTAATCCTAGCGACTTGGGAGGCTGAGGGCAGGAGAATCACTTGAACCCAGGAGACAGAGGTTGCAGTGAGCCTAGACCACACCACTTCACTCCAGCCTGGGCAAAGGAGTGAGACTCTGTCTCCAAAATTAATTAATTAAAGAAACCAAACAAGGAGAAGGTTGGCTACACCAAGATCAGCAAGTGTGGGATTATGATGCCACCACCAGGCTCCATCCACATAGGGAGCGGTTGATACTCCTCCAACCAGCACCAGGAGCCAGGCTATGGAAGCTGGTACAGGCATGGCAAGAGTGGCTCCCAGTCCCCACCAGGAAAAGGGTGTGTGGACACTGGTGCCTGCCTTACTGTTCAGTTCATACCTCCTGCCAAGGATTCCAATTCGTCCAAAAGAGATTGAACCAGGCTGCTAAGAGCCTGGATGTGCAGCCTATCCTGGTTCCTCTTCCACCCCCACATAGACAGCAGGAAAGACATTAGTTCAAAATAGATACAACAGCCGAAGAGATGAGGCTGAGCCCAGCGGCAAGGCAATCAGAGGTTACTAGAGACAGAGGGACAGAGAAGAGGGAGGGAGACAGATGGAAGGACCTGCACCAGGAGTTATGGGCACAGAAAAGAACATGAAGACACAGAGAGGAAGGAGAGAGACAGACACCAGGGAGGGGAAGCCTCACTCAATCCAGGTGCCATGGATGGGATGATAAAGAGAGACACCTTCTAAATTCACAAACTCTCTTCCTAGGATTCCGCAGAAAACCTTCCCTCCTGGCCCACCCAGGTCGCCTGGTGAAATCAGAAGAGACAGTCATCCTGCAATGTTGGTCAGATGTCATGTTTGAGCACTTCCTTCTGCACAGAGAGGGGACGTTTAACGACACTTTGCGCCTCATTGGAGAGCACATTGATGGGGTCTCCAAGGCCAACTTCTCCATCGGTCGCATGAGGCAAGACCTGGCAGGGACCTACAGATGCTACGGTTCTGTTCCTCACTCCCCCTATCAGTTTTCAGCTCCCAGTGACCCTCTGGACATCGTGATCACAGGTGAGAGTGTCCAGACATTCTTCTCATTGTCATTCGGACACAGAGTGAATGATCCAGGACTTGGAGGCCCAGGTGGTTGTAAGGAAGATGAGCTTGGTATTCTTATGGAGAGAGACTGACTTGGTGAGGTCTGTACCAACAGAGACAGAGAAACAGGAGACACAAGTACAGACCAGGTGTCATAACAGAGGACAGACACAGGGGCCATTCCGAGAGTTAGAAAAGACAGAAGGAGTTAAAGGAGACAGACAGACAGACATGTCCCAGAGAGAGGTGTCCCTCCATGCTGACTTTGCTCAGAGACCTGGCACAGATTACAAGTTTCATTTCTGTTTTACCTCCACAAAGTGTTCTCTACCAGGAGAACCCAAGGACACCCATATTTCTGACCTGAGTTGGGCCCTGTGGCCTCAGGCCTTCTGGCACCTACAGATGCCGTGTTTATTCTGACACCTCTGCCTTCCAAGTAATGGAGAGTAATCGTCCCAGGATATCATGGCCCCAGAACACCAACCCCTGTATGCTGTGTGAACTTGTAGTCTCCAGACTGGATTCTGAGGCTCACATTCCAAATAACCCCACATATGAAAGGATCACTGAGAGGCACAGAGAAAAATCAGGAACACCAAAAAGCAAAGACATAAACACACAGAGAATGGGCCAGAGGAAGGAGATTGAGAGACTCACAGACACATAAAGAGAGAGAAAAGAGGGCAGAGGAGTGGTGAGAATGATGGAAGGGAGCAGAGAAAAGCACTAAAATTAGAGTCCTGAGGGAGAGGCACAAGGACATAGAAAGATGGAGATGTGGGGATGAATTGCAGAGATTCCAAAGAGAACTAGAGAGACCGAGAGGCAGAGCAAGACAGATGATAGATGGATAGATATAGATAGATGATAAATAGGTAGATGATAGATACTAGGTTATAGATACATAGATGATGATTGATTGATTCATTAATAGATGAGACGTAGAGATGATGATGAAGACAGATAGATAATACATAGAGATAGAGAGGCAGACAGAAGTCATAGAGAGAGAGATGATACATAGATATAGATAACAGATGATTGATGGATAGATAGACAAGTGATAGATACATAGATGATATATAGATATAGATGACAAGTAGAGAATTTGTAGATAGGCACCGAATAGATAAATAGATAGATCAACAGATAATAGATAGAAATATGCAGAAAGTTATGAACAGGACACAAAGTGAGAAACTTAGAATTTAAAAAAGTAACATCAAGTCAACCAATCCAAGGAGAGTCAGAGAGAATAAAACAATCCAAAAACGGAAAACATATCTAGAGGTGGGGAAGCGAGGTCAGAGACCTAGAGAGACAGAGAAGGTGGAAGGAGGAAATAGACATGAAGAGAGATGGGGTGGAGGGTGAGAGAGAGAGAGAGAGAGCATTAGGTCATAGAGCAGGGGAGTGAGTTCTCAGCTCAGGTGAAGGGAGCTGTGACAAGGAAGATCCTCCATAAGGAAAATGCCTCTTCTCCTTCCAGGTCTATATGAGAAACCTTCTCTCTCAGCCCAGCCGGGCCCCACGGTTCTGGCAGGAGAGAGCGTGACCTTGTCCTGCAGCTCCTGGAGCTCCTATGACATGTACCATCTATCCACGGAGGGGGAGGCCCATGAACGTAGGTTCTCTGCAGGGCCCAAGGTCAACGGAACATTCCAGGCCGACTTTCCTCTGGGCCCTGCCACCCAAGGAGGAACCTACAGATGCTTCGGCTCTTTCCATGACTCTCCCTACGAGTGGTCAAAGTCAAGTGACCCACTGCTTGTTTCTGTCACAGGTGAGGAAAGCCCATGGCTGTCCCATGTCCTATGATCCTAGAGCCTTAGCTGAGGAGCTTCCTGCTGAGGATGGAGAGAAGCATGGACAGATGCAGAGAGAAGATGCATCCTCGGTGTGAGGGAGGGATCAGGGCACAGGATGGCCGACAGGGCACCTCCAAACCCTCCTACATGGCCTGCATGGAGGCCCGCAGCCAGGGCTCCAGGCACCCAGGCAGATGGAGAAAGCGGTCAGGAGAGACCCAGAGGAGGGAGACTGGGCTCAGTTTGGGGAGATCAGAGGTTCCCTCAGCCCCTCAACCTTACCCATTTCCCAGAAGCCCATCCTGGCCTCTCACCCACACAGAGATGTCATCACCAGCAACCCCTACACCCTTTACTTTTGTTTGAAGAAATATTTATTGAGGATAAATATACCTATATAGCTTACCACCTTTAACATTTTTTTTTTTTTGAGGCAGAGTCTAGCTCTGTCCCCTATGCTGGAGTGCAGTGGCACAATCTCAGCTCACTGCAACTTCCGCCTCCTGGGTTCAAGCGATTCTCCTGCCTCAGCCACCTGAGTAGCTGGTGCTACAGGTGCGCACCACCACGCCAGGCTACTTTTTGTATTTTTAGTAGAGAGGTGGTTTCACCATGTTGGTCGAGCTGGTCTGCAACTCCTGACCACGTGATCCACCCGCATCTGCCTCCCAAAGTGCTGGGATTACAGGCATGAGCCACCACGCCCAGCCACATTTACCATTTTTAAGTGTAAAGTCTAGTGGTCATAAATACATTTATATATATATATATATATACATTTTTTTTACCCTCCACCCTTTTCTTCCTGCCCTCCAGTAGCCACCATTCTACTCTCTACCTTCATGAGATCCACCTTTTAGCTCCTGTATATGGGTGAGAAATGGGAATCTTTGTAATGACCTCCAGTTCCATCCATGTGGCTGCAAATGACAGGATGTTATTCTTTCTATGGATGAGTAGTCTCCACTGTGCGTATGTACTACATTCTCTCTATCCATTCACCCACTGATGGGCAGGTAGGTTGACTCCTCATCTTGGCTACTGTGAACAGTGCTGCACCAATCATACGAGTGCAGATATCACTTCGATATATTGATTTACTTTCCTTTGGATATAAACCCAGTAGTGAAATTGCTGGATACTATGAAAGTTCTCTTTTTTTTTTTTTTCTTTTTTGAGAAAGAGTTTCCCTCCTTAGCCCAAGCTGGAGTCAAAGTGGTGCGACCTTGGCTCATTGCAACCTCCGCCTCCTGGGTTCCAATGATTTTCCTGCCTCAGCCTCCCTAGTAGCTGGGATTACAGGTGCACGCCACCATGCCTGGCTACTTTTTGGTTTTTTTAGTATAGATGCGGTTTCCCCATGTTGGCTGGGCTGCTCTCAAACTCATGACCTCAACTGAGGTGCCCGCCTCAGTCTCCCAAAGTGCCGGGATTACAGGCCTGATCCACCACACCCAACCTCTTTTTAGTTCTTTAAAGGACTTCCATACTTTTCTCCGTAATCGCTGTACTAATTTACACTCCTCCCAACAGGGTACCAGGGTTCTCCTTTCTCTAGCACTTTGCCAGCATTTCTTTTGCCTGTCTTGCAGCTAAAAGCCATTTTATTTATTTCATTTTATTTTGAGATGGAGTTTTGCTCTTCTCACCCAGGCTGGAGTGCAGTGGCGCTATCTCGGCTCACCACAACCTCCACCTCCCAGGTTCAAGCGATTCTCCTGCCTCAGCCTCCCGAGTAGCTGGAATTACAGGCACACGCCACCACGCCCGACTAATTTTTGTATTTTTAGTAGAGACAGCGTTTCTCTATGTGGGTCATACTGGTCTCAAACTCCCGACCTTATGAGATTCACCCACCTCAGGCTCTCAAAGTTCTAGGATGACAGACGTGAGCCACCTCACCCGGCCTAAAAGCCATTTTAATGGGGTGAGATGAAAACTCACTTTGATTTTAATTTGCATTTCTCTGATGATGAGTGATACTGAGCACTTTTTCATATGTGGGGAAATTTCATGTCTTTTGCTCCTTTTTCAATTAAATCATTTGTTTTATTGAGTTGTTTGAGCTTCTTATATTTCTAGTTATTAATCCCATCTCAGATGCATAGTTTGCACATATTTGCTCCCAATCTGTGGGTTGTCTCTTCACTTTGTTGGTTTATTTTTAGCAGTGCAGAAGTTGCTTAGTTTGAGGTAATCCCAATGGTCTATTTTTGCTTCGATTACTTGTGTTTTCAAGGTTTAAAACAAAATGTCTTCCTTCAGACAAACGTCCTGGAGCATTTCCCCAATATTTCTTCTACGTGTTTCATAGGTTCAGGCCTTAGACTCACATCTTTAATCCATTTTCATTTGATTTTTGTGTATGGTGACAGGTAGAGGTGCAGTTTCATTCCTCTGCATGTAGATGTCCAGGTTTCCCTGCACTGTTTATTGAAAAGACTGTCCTTTCCTGATTGTGAGTTCTTGGCACCTTTGTCAAAGTCCATTGGATGGGCTGGGCTTGGTGGCTCACACCTGCAATTCCAGCACTTTGGGAGGCCGAGGCGGGTGGATTACCTGAGGCCAGGAGTTCAAGATCAGTCTGGCCGACGTGATGAAACATCGTCTCCACTAAAAATATAAAAATTAGCTGAGCATGGTGGTCAGCACCTGTAATACCACTACTCAGGAGTTTGAGGCAAGAGAATGATTGAACCCAGGAGGCTGAGGTTGCAGTGAACTGAGATTGCACCTCTGCACTCCAGCCTGAGTGACAGAGCAAGACTCCATCTCAAAAGAAAAAATAAAAAACCATTGGATGTAAATGCATGGAATATATCTGTGTTATTCATTCTGCTCCATTGTTCTATGTGCCTTTCTTTATGCCAATGTCATGCTGTTTTGCTTACTACAGCTCTGTAACATATTTTGAGATCAGGTAGTGTGATGCTCCTGTTTTCTCTTTATACCTTGAAGTCTCAAGACAGTGGGCGTCACATACAAAAATTATGGAAAAAAGGATCCCAGGACTCCCAGGGCCCAATATTAGATAACAGAGTGTTGGCCATGAACCATCCTCAAAGATTTCCACTGAGTAGAGGACAGACACCCTCATTTCCTCACCTCTCTCCTGTCTCATATTCTAGGAAACCCTTCAAATAGTTGGCCTTCACCCACTGAACCAAGCTCCAAAACCGGTGAGTACAGAACCCTCTTATATCCGCTTTTGGAAACCTGGGGAGGTGGAAACCTTGGATTCAGGCGTTGACTCAGCATCTCACAGCTCTGACATTGTACCCCTGTCTTCCACCATCTCCGAACTCCAGATACTCCTACAGCGAAAGGGATCTGGGCCCAACACAGGGCTCAGTGAAATCTCTTCATCTCTCATTTTATGGAGCTGAGACCTCCTACAAGCTAGAAGAATGATTGCCAATCTGACATCCTTCTCAGGAAAAATGCAATGTTTGTTCTGCCTGCATTCCTAACTGGAGGATAAATTCCTGGAGACTTGAGAGAGGGAAGGGAAGGGAACATCTGATGAGGGCGAGGTGTTTTAGAGAAGTTCCACTTGCCAAGGAATGAGCTCCTATAGGTCATGAAGCAACCCTGGCTGACTCAGCAGAGAAAGAGCCTTGCTGTAACAGAGAACAGAGCTCATGCACGCACACTTCGACTCACTGACTCATTCAGCCACGGCCCCATGCTCAGGCTGTGCAGTGTGGAAGCTTTTCCTATTGTTGCCATAACAAATTTCCACAAGATTCGTGGGTGAAAACAAAACGGTTTTTTAATTATCTTGCAGTGCTGTAGCTCAAAGTATGAAGTGCATCTCACTGGGCTAAAATCAAGGTGACAGCAAGGCTGCCTTCCCTCTGAGGATTCCAGGCAAGAATCTGCTTCTCACTTTTCTCAGCTTCTAGAGGCTCCCACATTCCTTCGCTCCTGGTCCCCTTCCTCCTTCCTCAAAGCCCACAAAGGCTGGTCACATCTCACATGGCATCACTCAGACCCTTCTTCCTTACCACACCTCTTTCTCTGAATGCTGCTCTCCCTTCTTCCTCATCTTTTGAAAACTTGGGGATTCTATTGGGTTCACCAAGATGAAAATCCATCATAATCTCCCGGAAATCATTCAGGATACCCTTGTTTTAAGTTCAGCTGATTAGCAACCATAATTCCATCTGCAATCTTCATTCCTCCTTTCCATGTAAAATAAGATATTCACAAGCTATGGAGGCTAGGACAGGGACATTTTGGGGTGGGACAGCATTCTCCTACCTTCCACAAACAGTGAACAAGATGCATTTGGCCTCTGCTCTTGGGACACTGATATTGCAGATGGTTAAATGGGAGGGCAGAAAATGAATGCACAAGTGGACCAATAAATGAATGATCCATTGGGAAGCATCTGTGTATGAAATCTATTTGTTTGTTTCTTCATTTGTTTATTGAGACAGAGTCGCCCTCTGTCTTCCAGGCTACAGTGCAGTGTCACCATCTTGGCTCACTGCAACCTGCACCTTCTGGATCCAAGTGATTCTCCTGCGTCAGCCTCTCAAGTAGCTGGGATTACAGGCAACTGCCACCATGCCCGGCTAATTCTTTTTGTATATTTTTTGTAGAGGATGTTTCACCATCTTCGCCAAGCTTCTCTGAAACTCCCAACCTCAAGTGATCCGACCGTCTCAGCATCCTAAAGTACTGGGATAACTGGCGTGAGCCACTGTGCCCAGCCAGAATTTAAAATAAATAATACATAATGCTGAGTGTATGATTTTGGGTGACAGAGAAGATCTCACTAATCAGATATTTGTGACATTAATGAAAAACACGGATTGAACCCCTGAAAGATTGGTGGAAGGATTTTCCACACACAGCTGTCAGCCGTGAACGCACAAAGGTGAAAATAATCTGATGTTGAAGGAAGAGGCTCTTCCTCAAATGCTGGGAATGACGTGGGGAGAATGACAAGACGACTGTGGAGAGACGGAGAGCACACTGGGTACACAGGAAACTAAGGAGCAACAAGGAGTGTGTGTTTGACACTCACAGCCATTGGATTCACCTCGGGGTAGCCAGGAATCCCTACATGATTAATAGTGACTGACATGAAAATAAGGGAGGCCCAGGTGCGTAACTGGAATCTAGGAGACCGTGGAAAAGGCAATTCCCGCCTCACTGGTGAAATGTGGTGCTGATTTAGACCCTAACTGGGTGAAGCAGATGGATATAAGATATGCTTGTGAGGTGGAATCATTGGCTGGAAAGGCTTGCTGGGTATGATTTTCCTAGTTGTCTAATCCTCGCTTAATTTCTTTCTGAGCTTTATTCCTACTACACATAAATCAATACCTGGCAAAGGAGTGACAGATATATGAGGGGTGGTGGAAATGAAGGGACCTATTACAGCATAATATACAAGTCTGTGAACGGTGGCTCACGCCTGTAACCCAGCACTGCAGGAGGCCAAGGCGGGTGGATCACACGAAGTCAGCAGTTCGAGACCAGCCTGGCCAACATGGTGAAACCCTGTCTCTAGGAAAAACACAAAAATTAGCCGAACATGGTGGTGCATCCCTGTAATGCCAGCTCCTACTCTGGAGGATGAAGCAGGAGAATGACTTCAACCCAGGAGGTGGAGTTTGCAGTGAGTGGAGATTGCATCACTGCACTCCAGCCTGGGTGACACAAGGAGACTCCGTCTCAAAAAATAAAAATAAGAAATGCATAAATATAAATATAATATAACACACGCAAATGACAAAGGGACCTGAATTCCAATCATGATTTTTCTATTTCTCTATAATTACTTCTTTGATCCTTTATCTTATCCATTAGGCAATGAGCCTAAAACCTCTTCCCTATTTGGCTTTCTGTGAGCATGAGATCATATAGAAAATGTGAAAGCCCGCTGAATCCTCCAGCACAGATCCTGGAATACACAAAGTGCTCTGTTCATCACAAAAAAAACATGCCCTCTCACCCAAATCCCCCACCTCACCCCTACTTCCAATCATCTGTGGAGATTCAGATAGGCCATGGGGAGGTAAATTCTAATACTCCTTGGAGTGAGTCCAGATCTTGGAATCAGAGATCAGCGTCAGCACTAGCTCCTGCTCCCCTTTCCTACTAATTCACAGGAGGACAGGTGGTATTGAAGCAATAGATGGCCGAGGGTGTGGTCCTTCCCCCAGCCTCTGGGGTAGAACAGCAGCCTAACATGTGTCTCCTGAGATCACAAAGAGTAGCACGTTTCACATGGGCTTCAACACTATTTCCTGGCCATTTGACATAAGAGAATTCTACTTCGCTTTTTTTATCTTGATTTCACTTTTGTTTCCTTTTCTTGGAGAATGCAAGTTGTTTGACTCAAGAATGCCGTGGATGTATAAATCCTAAAGCACATTCGCTGTGTATCAATCCCAGTGCAGTCTTCCCAGAGAAGACTCTAAACACCTCCTGGACTGCACCTGGGCCTATGCCAATTCCTATCACTCACCGTCACTCCAGGAAGACAGAACACACAGAGAATACATTACACAGGCAGGTTCATTACTAACAGATAAGCAGCGAGTGACAACAGAAGCCTACATTTCAATGTGAGCCAGTCCCTCAAGGCTCAGAAAAGCTGCTCGGGACATATGGAGTCACCCCATTTGCAGTGTAGCTGGGGGAAGCCAGAAAGCAGCCCAGCCTGGGTTTTGTACCCTGGAGCCACAGGAAGCACTCAGCTAAAGCACTGCATGACGCCTTCCTCCAGGAAGAACAGGAAGACAGCCCAGGCTGTTCTGAGACATTCCTCCTGATCTCAGGACGTTGCTGTCGTAGTTTTTTTTTGTTGCTCTAAAGGAAAACTTGAGCCTCGGTAACTTCTAAAGAAAAGAGATCGGTTTGCCTCACCGTTCTGCAGGCTGTACTGGAAGCATGGCACCAGAATCTATTTCTTGTGACGGCCTCAGGCTGCTCCCACTCTGGCAGAAGGGAAGGAGGGTCTGTCTGTGCAGAGACCGCAGAGATCACACGGCAAGAGAGAGAGTAAGGGGGAGGGGGAGCGATGGAGCTTCCAAGCTCTTTTGAACAACCAGCTCTCCGGGAACTAATAGAGGGGGAACTTGCTAACCCCGTCTCCTTGGGACAGCATTGTTCTGTTCATGATGGATCCACCTCCATGACCCAAACACCTCCCAAGAGGCCCAACCTCCCACAGTGGGGGTGAAATTTCCATGTGAGGTTTGAAGGGGTCAGACATCTCAACTAAAGTAGTTGTATCCTCAGCACGTTCTATGGTTACTATGAGAGCTATAATTGAGAAAGCAGGGGAAAGCTAGGTCTCCCACCATTTGGGTGCTTGTCCTAAAGAGACGTTGTATGTGGTTACCTGTCAATCA
The DNA here is from genome assembly GCF_000001405.40 of Homo sapiens. NCBI lineage: Eukaryota > Metazoa > Chordata > Mammalia > Primates > Hominidae > Homo > Homo sapiens. Next base: position 200,874 of record NT_187675.1, read on the forward strand.
AGAAATGCGAGACAATTCATAAAGAGGAACTGCTATGATTAGCTTCTTATTGGTGTCTCCTCTTCTTCCAGGTAACCCCAGACACCTACACGTTCTGATTGGGACCTCAGTGGTCAAACTCCCTTTCACCATCCTCCTCTTCTTTCTCCTTCATCGCTGGTGCTCCAACAAAAAAAGTAAGTCTCACGAAGCAGAGGCCAGAGAGCTCAGGGCCATGTGGGGAAGCAGGATGGTAGCACGCGGGTGTGTGTTCCTCACAGGCAGGATGGTCCCTGGCCCAAGGCAGGAGCCACAGAGGCAGGACTTTCTAGAGAGAGCACCAGATTCCCTTCCCCTGCCTTCAGCTCACAGACCATTGCCTGATTCTGAACTGTACCCTCACGTCCCCTGCAGCCACTCACATCCAGGAGAAGGTTCCATGACAGGCAGAAAGTGGGAGATAGAATCAATGGGATGGGAACTCAGAGCTATTCATGGGATGGGTCCTTGAGCTCAGAGAGATAGAATGTCTGAGTCTGCTGTTGGCAACTGAGGGACCTCAGGCACCTATGGCCTCCCCCTGTTTGTTGGTATCTGCTTATGAAATGAGGACCCAGAAGTGCCCTCCGAGCTGTTTTGTTGACTTCCATCTTCTACAGATGCATCTGTAATGGACCAAGGGCCTGCGGGGAACAGAACAGTGAACAGGGAGGTAGGTGCTCCTCGGCCCAGCCTCGTGGCTAGTCTTATTCCCAAAGAGTCCTGAAAAATGTGAGCACCCTCCCTCACTCAGCATTTCCCTCTCTCCAGGATTCTGATGAACAGGACCATCAGGAGGTGTCATACGCATAATTGGATCACTGTGTTTTCACACAGAGAAAAATCACTCCCCCTTCTCAGAGGCCCAAGACACCCCCAACAGATACCAGCATGTACATAGAACTTCCAAATGCTGAGTCCAGATCCAAAGCTGTCTTCTGTCCACGAGCACCACAGTCAGGCCTTGAGGGGATCTTCTAGGGAGACAACAGCCCTGTCTCAAAACCGGGTTGCCAGCTCCCATGTACCAGCAGCTGGAATCTGAAGGCATCAGTCTTCATCTTAGGGGATCGCTCTTCCTCAAACCACGAATCTGAACATGCCTCTCTCTTGCTTACAAATGTCTAAGGTCCCCACTGCCTGCTGGAGAGAAAACACACTCCTTTGCTTAGCCCACAATTCTCCATTTCACTTGACCCCTGCCCACCTCTCCAACCTAACTGGCTTACTTCCTAGTCTACTTGAGGCTGCAATCACACTGAGGAACTCACAATTCCAAACATACAAGAGGCTCCCTCTTAACACAGCACTTAGACACGTGCTGTTCCACCTTCTCTCATGCAGTTCCACCTCCCCTCAGACTATCTTTCAGCCTTCTGTCAGCAGTAAAACTTATAAATTGTTTTTAGTAATTTCAATGTAGTTTTCCCTCCTTCAAATAAACATGTCTGCCCTCATGGTTTCGGTAATGGGACTCTTTTCTTGCCTAAGGCTTCTGGTGTTATCATTACCATGTCCACATAACCCCATCTGTTCTCCACTGGGTTCTCACCCCTGGACTCTGAGCTTCTGGAACAGGGTGGACCCTGACTTGTCTCTGAGACTCCAATTTCCATCCAAAGATGCAGCACATAGGAAGTTCCAAGGATCGTGAATCACATGAACAAGTGATATTCTTACTCTCTGCAGACCTGGAAAGCTGGCAGAGTCATTCCATGATGAAACATTTGTAGAGTCATAGGCCTTGTTAGTCTCATCTCCACGGGGACACATGTCAACGCATCATCTTTCATACTATAAATATACAGTCGCTCCTCCGTATCTGTGGGGTTTACAGGTGTTTATTGAACCAAGTATAAATCAAAAATATTCAGAGAAAAAGCCCACAAAGTTCCAAAAAGCAAAACTGTGTTGAATGCACACAAATGAGGTGGTGTATAGGCTGTATCAGGAATTATAAGTAATCAAGAGATGATTTCATGTATACAGGAGGATGTGCATGGGTTATATCCAAATGCTGTGTCATTTTATGTAAGAGGCTTGAGCATCTGCAGATTTTAGTATCTGAGTGGAGATCCTGAAACCAATCACCCATGAATAGTGAAGGATGACGGTATAGGACTTTTATTTCTCAAATTTAAATATAAATCATAAAAAATGTACAATAACTAGATAAAAACTAAGAAGTGTTTTTATAGTGTGAGAATAAGTTTAGATTTATTATTTCCTATGTGTAACCCTTTGGTTTAATATTATTTATTGAGAAGACATTCTATGCCACCTTAAACCACACGGCAGCCTTTGTCAACTAAAAAGGGACTGTGTGTACACGGATGTGTATTTTAGACACTGTCTCTGCTAAACGGCTCTCTGTGTCCACATTCTTGAGGATGCTCCACTTTATGTAGCCCCATAGAACCCTTTAAATTTAGTAGCCAGAGGCCTCTAATTTGTTATTATAGGCTATTTGCTATTTTTATTTTCTTGAGGCGGAGTCTTGCTCTGTCGCCCAGGCTGGACTGCAGTGGTGCAATCTCAGCTCACTGCAACCTCCGCCTCCCAGGTTCAAGCGATTCTCGTGCCTCAGCCTCTTGGGTAGCTGGTGTTACAAGTTCCTGCCACTGGGCACGGCTAATTTTTGGATTTTTAGCAGAGACACGGTTTCACTGTGTTGCCAGGCTGCTCTCAAACTCCTTATATCAGTTGATCCGCCCACCTCGGCTTCCCGACGTGCTGGGGGAAACTTGATTTTCTATAGCATTATGTTACTGGATATTTCTGTAAAATTTAAAATGAGGGAGGGAGAGAGACAGAGAGAGAGCAAACTCCAGAGTTGGGACTCTGGAAACTTGGGTCATGAGACAAATTTTAGATAAATCTACAAAAATCCAGAGTTTAAATGTGTGGTTTTTGCTGATAACGTACAATTCAAAGATTGTAAATAATTGCATAATCCTTCCCTGGGAATTTAAATCATTTTAACTGGTTCTGCTGTAATACTAGAAATACAAGCATGAAAAATTCTAATGGTTTATTAGTCACAATGACTCTGAAAACCTTAATAATACCTATTAGATATTTTGCATATTACACAGGAAGAAGAGTTTGAATCTCAGATAAAAACAATAAAAATACATGAAAAGTCTTTCACGTTAGCACAGATTTTAGGCATCTCGTGTTCAGGAGGTTGGATCTGAGACGTGTTTTGAGTTGGTCATAGTGAAGGACGCTAGGTGTAAATTCTAGTGAGAACAATTTCCAGGAAGCCGTGTTCCGCTCTTGAGCGAGCAACCACTGGGCCTCATGCAAGGTAGAAAGAGCCTGCGTACGTCACCCTCCCATGATGTGGTCAACATGTAAACTGCATGGGCAGGGCGCCAAATAACATCCTGTGCGCTGCTGAGCTGAGCTGGGGCGCGGCCGCCTGTCTGCACCGGCAGCACCATGTCGCTCACGGTCGTCAGCATGGCGTGTGTTGGTGAGTCCTGGAAGGGAATAGAGGAAGGGAGTGTGGGGTTGGAGATCTGGGCCCAGAGGTGGATATATAGGCCTGGAGGTGGAGTTGTGGGCCTGGAGTGGAGATCTGGGCCTGGAGTGGATATATGGGCCTAGAGATGGAGTGATGGGCCTAGAAGTGGAGATCTGGGCCCAGAGGTCGAGATATAGGCCTGGAGGTGGAGTGATGGGACTGTAGTGGAGATCTGGGCCTGGAGTGGAGATAGGAACCTGGAGGGGAGATAGGAACCTGGAGGGGAGATATGGGCCTGGAGGTGGAGATATGGGCCTGGAGTGGAGTCATGGGCCTGGAGGTGGAGTTACGGGCCTGCAGTAGAGATATGGGCCTGAAGTGGAGACATGGGCCTGGAGTGGAGATATGGGCCAGGAGTGGAGATATGGGCCTAGAGGTCGATATCTGGGCCTGGAGTGGAGATATGGGCCAGGAGTGGAGATATGGGCCTAGAGGTCGATATCTGGGCCTGGAGAGGAGATATGTGCCTAGGATGGAGATACGGGCCTGGGTGTGGAGATATGGGACTGGAGAGGATATATGGGCCTGGAGTGGAGATATGGGACTGGAGAGGAGATATGGACCTGGAGTGGAGATAAGGGCCTGGATTGGAGATATGGGCCCAGGGTGGAGATCTGAGCCTGGATTGGAGATATGGGCCTGGATTGGCGATATGGGCTTAGGGTGGAAATATCGGCCTGGAGTGGAGATATGGGCCTGGAGTGGAGATATGGGCTTGAGGTGGGGATATGGACCTGGAGGCTGGGTCTCTGCACAGCCGACAGCCCTGTTCTTGGGTGCAGGTAGGCACTGAGGGTGAGTTTACCTTCAGCCCAGGAAGGGCCTGGCTACCAAGACTCACAGCCCAGTGGGGGCAGCAAGGGTGCCCTGGTTTGCCTGCAGATGGGTCATCCATCATGATCTTTCTTTCCAGGGTTCTTCTTGCTGCAGGGGGCCTGGCCACATGAGGGTGAGTCCTTCTCCAAACCTTCGGGTGTCATCTCCCCACATAAGAGGATTTTCCTGAAATGGGAGGGAAGTCCTGTCAGGGAGTCTCTCATAAACTAGGAAGAAGGGACCCTGGGGTGCTGGGCCCACATTTCTGACCTTGCCTCCCTGGCCTTTCATTCCCTTGGCAGAGTCAAGTTCTGTGGGGACCAGGGTTAGACTACGGTGCTCAAAGCTGGGGTGTGTGGTGGGGAAGTGGTAGGAACAGCAGATCCTCTGAGGACAAAGGTGTTACTCACACACTTCAGCGTTTCCATGACGGTAGGGGCTGCAGTGTGGCTGCTGTCATTCTACCAGAAGAGGTGGGAAAACCACAGCCATGGCCCTGACATTCCAATCCTCTGATGGGGACTCAGTTGTTTATTTTCGTTCAGGCATCGGCTGATATTCCATTCTCAAAGGACATGCCCTCCACCCCATGTCTACCCTGTGTTGTTTTATGTGAGTAATCTTACAGTATTAAAATCTAGTAGGAGTCTCTTACTCAGCACTTGCTCAAAGTTCTCAGCTGACACTTTTGTTGTAGGGAGACACCTTGTGTTTGCGGGATGGGTTCTTCCTTTAGCCCTGGGCACCAAGGTGTGATAGCAGCCATAGAAACTTGGAAAGCGAGGAGAATCTTCAGAGCACAGGGAGGGAGGGGCGGCTCCACATCCTCCTCTCTAAGGCGGTGCCTCCTTCTCCCCACGGTGGTCAGGACAAGCCCTTGCTGTCTGCCTGGCCAAGCCCTGTGGTGCCTCCAGGATATGTGATTCTTCAGTGTCATTCTTATCTTGGGTTTAACAACTTCAGTCTGTAAAAGGAAGATGGGGTGCCTGTCCCTGAGCTCTACAACATAATATTCTGGAACAGCCTTTTCATGGGCCCTGTGACCCCAGCACACGCAGGGACCTATACATGTCGGGGTTCACAACCACACTACCCCAGTGGGTGGTCGGCACCCAGCAACCCCCTGGAGATCACGGTCACAGGTCAGAGGGCTCCTGTCTGGGATTCTCCTTGTCCCACCTCCTGAATCCCAGAGCTCCTGGTGGGCGTGTCCTTGCGGGTCCCATCATGCAAGTCCTGACTGTATTTGGGGTAAAGGGGGATTGAATACAGGGAAATGGGTGCTGTGGTGGGAAGAATAATTGTCCCCAGTGATGACTACATTCTAATCCCTGGAGTCTGTGACTATTTATGATATAGGGGAAGGGACTGAAGGAGAAGATGGAGCTCAGGTTGTTGATGAGTTGACCTTGAGATGGGGAGACAACCTGGACTGTCCTGATGGGCTCAGTGTAGTCACAGGGGTCCACAGGAAAGGAGGAGGAAGAGGGGAGTGGGGATTACAGCAGCATAATGGGAGTCTCCATCAGCTTTGAAGGTGGAGGAAGTCCAGGAGCCATGAATGCAGGTGGCCTATAGAGGCTGGAAAAGTCAAGGAACTGATTCTCCTGAGTCTCCAGAGGGAACGAAGCCCTGCAGGTACCTTGATTTTACCCACGACAAACAGGGTCCGATTTCTGTCTCCAGAATTGGAAGGGGTTAGTGTGCTCTCTCCTGCTGCCATGCTTCTGATAATTTTCTACAGCAGCAACAGGAAACCAACACTGGAACCCAGGTCAAGGACAAGTTAAGAAACAACACAAGGATAGCCAGGCATGGTGGCAGGTGCATGTAATCCTAGCGACTTGGGAGGCTGAGGGCAGGAGAATCACTTGAACCCAGGAGACAGAGGTTGCAGTAAGCCTAGACCACACCACTTCACTCCAGCCTGGGCAAAGGAGTGAGACTCTGTCGCCAAAATTAATTAATTAATTAAAGAAACCAAACAAGGAGAAGGTTGGCTACACTGAGATCAGCAAGGCTCGGATGATGATGCCACCACCAGGCTCCATCCACATAGGGAGCGGTTGATACTCCTCCAACCAGCACCAGGAGCCAGGCTATGGAAGCTGGCACTGGCATGGCAAGAGTGTCTCCCAGTCCCTACCAGGAACAGGGTGTGTGGCCACTGGTGCCTGCCTTACTGATCAGTTCATACCTCCTGCCAAGGATTCCAATTCGTCCAAAAGAGATTGAACCAGGCTGCTAAGAGCCTGGATGTGCAGCCTATCCTGGTTCCTCTTCCACCCCCACACAGACAGCAGGAAAGACATTAGTTCGAAATAGATACAACAGCCCAAGAGATGAGGCTGAGCCCAGCGGCAAGGGAATCAGAGGCTACTAGAGACAGAGGGACAGAGAAGAGTGAGGGAGACAGATGGAAGGACCTGCACCAGGAGTTATGGGCACAGAAAAGAACATGAAGACACAGAGAGGAAGGAGAGAGATAAGACACCAGGAAGGGGAAGCCTGACTCAATCCAGGTGCCATGGATGGGATGATAAAGAGAGACACCTTCTAAACTCACAACCTCTCTTCCTAGGAGTCCACAGAAAACCTTCCCTCCTGGCCCACCCAGGTCGCCTGGTGAAATCAGAAGAGACAGTCATCCTGCAATGTTGGTCAGATGTCATGTTTGAACACTTCCTTCTGCACAGAGAGGGGATGTTTAACGACACTTTGCGCCTCATTGGAGAACACCATGATGGGGTCTCCAAGGCCAACTTCTCCATCAGTCGCATGAAGCAAGACCTGGCAGGGACCTACAGATGCTACGGTTCTGTTACTCACTCCCCCTATCAGTTGTCAGCTCCCAGTGACCCTCTGGACATCGTGATCATAGGTGAGAGTGTCCAGACTTTCTTCTCATTGTCATTGGGATGCAGAGTGAATGATCCAGGACTTGGAGGCCCAGGTGGCTGTAAGGAAGATGAGCTTGGTATTCTTATGGAGAGAGACTGACTTGGTGAGGTCTGTGCCAACAGAGACAGAGAAACAGGAGACACAAGTAGAGACCAGGTGTCATAACAGAGAACAGACACAGGGGCCATACCGGGAGTTTGAAAAGACAGAAAGAGTTAAAGGAAACACACAGACAGACATGTCCCAGAGAGAGGTGTCCCTCCATGCTGACTTTGCTCAGAGACCTGGCACAGGTTAGAAGTTTCATTTCTGTTTTACCTCCACAAAGTGTTCTCTACCAGGAGAACCCAAGGACACCCATATTTCTGACCTGAGTTGGGCCCTGTGGCCTCAGGCCTTGTGGCACCTACAGATGCCATGTTTATTCTGACACCTCTGCCTTCCATGTAATGGAGAGTAATCGTCCCAGGATATCATGGCCCCACAACACCAACCCCTGTATGCTGTGTGAACTTGTAGTCTCCAGACTGGATTCTGAGGCTCATATTCCAAATAAGCCCACTTATGAGAGGATCAGTGAGAGGCACAGAGAGAAATCAGGGACACCAAAAAGCAAAGACATAAACACACAGAGAATGAGCCAGAGGAAGGAGATTGAGAGACTCACAGACACATAAAGAGAAAAGAGGGCAGAGAAGTGAGAATGATGGAAGGGAGCAGAGAAAAGCACTAAAATTAGACTCCTGAGGGAGAGGCACAAGGACATTGAAAGATGGAGATGTGGGGATGAATTGCAGAGATTCCAAAGAGAACTAGAGAGACCGAGAGGCAGAGCAAGACAGATGATAGATGGATAGATATAGATAGATGATAAATAGGTAGATGATAGATAATAGGTTATAGATACATAGATGATGATTGATTGATTCATTAATAGATGAGACATAGAGATGATGATGATGAAGACAGATAGATAGATAATACATAGAGATACAGAGGCAGACATAGAGAAATCATAGAGAGAGAGAGATGATACATAGATATAGATAATAGATGATTGATGGATAGATAGACAATTGATGGATAAATAGATGATATATAGATATAGATGACAGGTAGAGAATTTGTAGATAGGCACCGAATAGATAAATAGATAGATCGATAGATAATAGATAGAAATATGCAGAAAGTTATGAACAGGACACAAAGTGAGAAACTCAGAATTAAAAAAAGTAACATCAAGTCAACCAATCCAAGGAGAGTCAGAGAGAATAAAACAATCCAAAAAGAGAAAACATATCTAGAGGTGGGGAAGTGAGGTCAGAGACCTAAAGAGACAGAGAAGGTGGAAGGAGGAAATAGACATGAAGAGCGATGGGGTAGAGGGTGAGAGAGAGAGAGAGAGAGCATTAGGTCATAGAGCAGGGGAGTGAGTTCTCAGCTCAGGTGAAGGGAGCTGTGACAAGGAAGATCCTCCCTGAGGAAACTGCCTCTTCTCCTTCCAGGTCTATATGAGAAACCTTCTCTCTCAGCCCAGCCGGGCCCCACGGTTCTGGCAGGAGAGAATGTGACCTTGTCCTGCAGCTCCCGGAGCTCCTATGACATGTACCATCTATCCAGGGAAGGGGAGGCCCATGAACGTAGGCTCCCTGCAGGGACCAAGGTCAACGGAACATTCCAGGCCAACTTTCCTCTGGGCCCTGCCACCCATGGAGGGACCTACAGATGCTTCGGCTCTTTCCGTGACTCTCCATACGAGTGGTCAAAGTCAAGTGACCCACTGCTTGTTTCTGTCACAGGTGAGGAAAGCCCATGGCTGTCCCATGTCCTATGATCCTAGAGCCTTAGCTGAGGAGCTTCCTGCTGATGATGGAGAGAAGCATGGACAGATGCAGAGAGAAGACGCAGCCTCGGTGTGAGGGAGGGATCAGGGCACAGGATGGCCGACAGGGCACCTCCAAACCCTCCTACATGGCCTGCATGGAGGCCCACGGCCAGGGCTCCAGGCACCCAGGCAGATGGAGAAAGCGGTCAGGAGAGACCCAGAGGAGGGAGACTGGGCTCAGTTTGGGGAGATCAGAGGTTCCCTCAGCCCCTCAACCTTACCCATTTCCCAGAAGCCCATCCTGGCCTCTCACCCACACAGAGATGTCATCACCAGCAACCCCTACACCCTTTACTTTTCTTTGAAGAAATATTTATTGAGGATAAATATACCTATATAGCTTACCACTTTTAACATTTTTTTTTGAGGTGGAGTCTAGCTGTGTCCCCTATGCTGGAGTGCAGTGGCACAATCTCAGCTCACTGCAACCTCCACCTCCTGGGTTCAAGCGATTCTCCTGCCTCAGCCACCTGAGTAGCTGGTGCTACAGGCACGCACCACCACGCCAGGCTACTTTTTGTATTTTTAGTAGGGAGGTGGTTTCACCATGTTGGTCGAGCTGGTCTCGAACTCCTGACCAAGTGATCCACCCGCATCTGCCTCCCAAAGTGCTGGGATTACAGGCATGGGCCACCGCGCCCAGCCACATTTACCATTTTTAAGTGTAAAGTCTAGTGGTCATAAATACATTTATATACATATATATATATATACATTTTTTTTACCCTCCACCCTTTTCTTCCTGTCCTCCAGTAGCCACCATTCTACTCTCTACCTTCATGAGATCCACCTTTTAGCTCCTGTATATGGGTGAGAAATGGGAATCTTTGTAATGACCTCCAGTTCCATCCATGTGGCTGCAAATGACAGGATGTTATTCTTTCTATGGATGAGTAGTCTCCACTATGCGTATGTACTACATTCTCTCTATCCATTTACCCACTGATGGGCAGGTAGGTTGACTCCTCATCTTGGCTACTGTGAACAGTGCTGCACCAATCATACGAGTGCAGATATCACTTCGATATATTGATTTACTTTCCTTTGGATATAAACCCAGTAGTGAAATTGCTGGATACTATGAAAGTTCTCTTTTTTTCTTTTTTTCTTTTTTGAGAAAGAGTTTCCCTCCTTAGCCCAAGCTGGAGTCAAAGTGGTGCGACCTTGGCTCATTGCAACCTACGCCTCCTGGGTTCAAATGATTTTCCTGCCTCAGCCTCCCTAGTAGCTGGGATTACAGGTGCACACCACCATGCCTGGCTACTTTTTGGTTTTTTTAGTATAGATGGGGTTTCCCCATGTTGGCTGGGCTGCTCTCAAACTCATGACCTCAACTGAGGTGCCCGCCTCAGTCTCCCAAAGTGCCGGGATTACAGGCATGATCCACCGCACCCAACCTCTTTTTAGTTCTTTAAAGGACTTCCATACTTTTCTCCGTAATGGCTGTACTAATTTACACTCCTCCCAACAGGGTACCAGGGTTCTCCTTTCTCTACCACCTTGCCAGCATTTCTTTTGCCTGTCTTGCAGCTAAAAGCCATTTTATTTTATTTCATTTTATTTTGAGATGGAGTTTTGCTCTTCTCACCCAGGCTGGAGTGCAGTGGCGCGATCTCGGCTCACCACAACCTCCACCTCCCAGGTTCAAGCGATTCTCCTGCCTCAGCCTCCCGAGTAGCTGGAATTACAGGCACACGCCACCACGCCCGACTAATTTTTGTATTTTTAGTAGAGACAGTGTTTCTCTATGTGGGTCATACTGGTCTCAAACTCCCGACCTTATGAGATTCACCCACCTCAGGCTCTCAAAGTTCTAGGATGACAAACGTGAGCCACCTCACCCGGCCTAAAAGCCATTTTAATGGGGTGAGATGAAAACTCACTTTGAATTTAATTTGCGTTTCTCTGATGATGAGTGATACTGAGCAGTTTTTCGTATGTGGGGAAATTTCATGTCTTTTGCTCCTTTTTCAATTAAATCATTTGTTTTATTGAGTTGTTTGAGCTTCTTATATTTCTAGTTATTAATCCCATCTCAGATGCATAGTTTGCACATATTTGCTCCCAATCTGTGGGTTGTCTCTTCACTTTGTTGGTTTATTTTTAGCGGTGCAGAAGTTGCTTAGTATGAGGTAATCCCAATGGTCTATTTTTGCTTCGATTACTTGTGTTTTCAAGGTTTAAAACAAAATGTCTTTCTTCAGACAAATGTCCTGGAGCATTTCCCCAATATTTTGTTCTACGTGTTTCATAGGTTCAGGCCTTAGACTCACATCTTTAATCCATTTTCATTTGATTTTTGTGTATGGTGACAGGTAGAGGTGCAGTTTCATTCCTCTGCATGTAGATGTCCAGGTTTCCCTGCACTGTTTATTGAAAAGACTGTCCTTTCCTGATTGTGAGTTCTTGGCATCTTTGTCAAAGTCCATTGGATGGGCTGGGCTTGGTGGCTAACACCTGCAATTTCAGCACTTTGGGAGCCCGAGGTGGGTGGATCACCTGAGGCCAGGAGTTCAAGATTAGTCTGGCCGACGTGATGAAACATCATCTCCACTAAAAATATAAAAATTAGCTGAGCATGGTGGTCAGCACCTGTAATACCACTACTCAGGAGTTTGAGGCAAGAGAATGATTGAACCCAGGAGGCTGAGGTTGCAGTGAACCGAGATTGCACCTTTGCACTCCAGCCTGAGTGACAGAGCAAGACTCCATCTCAAAAGAAAAAATAAAAAACCATTGGATGTAAATGCATGGAATATATCTGTGTTATTCATTCTGCTCCGTTGTTCTATGTGCCTTTCTTTATGCCAGTGTCATGCTATTTTGCTTACTACAGCTCTGTAACATATTTTGAGATCAGGTAGTGTGATGCTCCTGTTTTCTCTTTATACCTTGAAGTCTCAAGACAGTGGGTGTCACATAAAAAAATTATGGAAAAAAGGATCCCAGGACTCCCAGGGCCCAATATTAGATAACAGAGTGTTGGCCATGAACCATCCTCAAAGATTTCCACTGAGTGGAGGACAGAAACCCTCATTTCCTCACCTCTCTCCTGTCTCATGTTCTAGGAAACCCTTCAAATAGTTGGCCTTCACCCACTGAACCAAGCTCCGAAACCGGTGAGTACAGAACCCTCTTATATCCGCTTTTGGAAACCTGGGGAGGTGGAAACCTTGGATTCAGGCGTTGACTCAGCATCTCACAGCTCTGACATTGTACACCTGTCTTCCACCATCTCCGAACTCCAGATACTCCTACAGCGAAAGGGATCTGGGCCCAACACAGGGCTCAGTGAAATCTCTTCATCTCTCATTTTATGGAGCTGAGACCTCCTACAAGCTAGAAGAATGATTGCCAATCTGACATCCTTCTCAGGAAAAATGCAATGTTTGTTCTGCCTGCATTCCTAACTGGAGGATAAATTCCTGGAGACTTGAGAGAGGGAAGGGAAGGGAACATCTGATGAGGGCGAGGTGTTTTAGAGAAGTTCCACTTGCCAAGGAATGAGCTCCTGTAGGTCATGAAGCAACCCTGGCTGACTCAGCAGAGCAAGAGCCTTGCCGTAACAGAGAACAGAGCTCATGCACACACACTTCGACTCACTGACTCATTCAGCCACGGCCCCATGCTCAGGCTGTGCAGTGCGGAACCTTTTCCTATTGTTGCCATAACAAATTTCCACAAGATTCGTGGGTGAAAACAAAACGGTTTTTTAATTATCTTACAGTGCTGTAGCTCAAAGTAGGAAGTGCATCTTACTGGGCTAAAATCAAGGTGACAGCAAGGCTGCCTTCCCTCTGAGGATTCCAGGCACGAATCTGCTTCTCACTTGTCCCAGCTTCTAAAGGCTCCCAGTTCCTTGGCTCCTGGTCCCCTTCCTCCTTCCTCAAAGCCCACAAAGACTGGTCACATCTCACATGGCATCACTCAGTGCCTTCTTCCTTACCACACTTCTTTCTCTGAATGCTGCTCTCCCTTCTTCCTCATCTTTTGAAAACTTGGGGATTCTATTGGGTTCACCAAGATGAAAATCCCTCATAATCTCCTGGAAATCATCCAGGATACCCTTGTTTTAAGTTCAGCTGATTAGTAACCATAATTCCATCTGCAATCTTCATTCCTCCTTTCCATGTAAAATAACATATTCACAAGCTATGGAGGCTAGGACAGGGACATTTTGGGGTGGGACAGCATTCTCCTGCCTTCCACAAACAGTGAACAAGATGCATTTGGCCTCTGCCCTTGGGACACTGATATTGCAGATGGTTAAATGGGAGGGCAGAAAATGAATGCACAAGTGGATCTATAAATGAATGATCCATTGGGAAGCATCTGTGCATGAAATCTATTTTTTGTTTGTTCTTTTGTTTATTGAGACAGAGTTGCCCTCTGTCTTCCAGGCTACAGTGCAGTGTCACGATCTTGGCTCACTGCAACCTGCTTCTCCTGGATTCAAGTGATTCTCCTGCCTCCGCCTCTCGAGTAGCTGGGATTACAGGCAACTGCCACCGTGCCCGGCTAATTCTTTTTGTATATTTTTTGTAGAGAGGATGTTTCACCACGTTGGCCAAGCTTGTCTGAAACTCCCAACCTCAAGTGATCCGACCGTCTCAGCATGCCAAAGTAATGGGACTACAGGCGTGAGCCACTGTGCCCAGCCAGAATTCAAAATCAATAATAGATAATGCTGAGTGTATGATTTCAGGTGACAAAGAAGGTCTCACTATTCAGATATTTGTGACATTAATGAAAAACACGGATTGAACCCCTGAAAGATTGGCGGAAGGATTTTGCACACACAGCTGTCAGCCGTGAAGGCACAAAGGTGAAAACAATCTGATGTGGAAGGAAGAGGCTCTTCCTCAAATGCTGGGAATGAGGTGGGGAGAATGACAAGACGACTGTGGAGAGACGGAGAGCACACTGGGTACACAGGAAACTAAGGAGCAACAAGGAGTGTGTGTTTGACACTCACAGCCATTGGATTCACCTCGGGGTAACCAGGAATCCCTACATGATTAATATGACTGACATGAAAATAAAGGAGGCCCAGGGGCGTAACTGGAATCTAGGAGACCGTGGAAAAGGCAATTCCCGACCCACTGGTGAAATGTGGTGCTGATTTTGACACTAAGTGGATGAAGCAGATGGATATAAGCTATGCTTGTGAGGTAGAATCATTGGCTGGAAAGGCTTGCTGGGTTTGATTTTCCTACTTGTTTAATCCTCGCTTAATTAATTTCTTTCTGAGATTTATTCATCCTACACATAAATCAATACCTGGCAAAGGAGTGACAGATATATGAGGGGTGGTGGAAATGAAGAGACCTATTATAGCGTAATATACAAGTCTGTGAACGGTGGCTCACGCTTGTAACCCAGCACTGCAGGAGGCCAAGGCGGGTGGATTCCATGAAGTCAGGAGTTCCAGACCAGCCTGGCCAACATGGTGAAACCCTATCTGTACTAAAAATACAAAAATTAGCCGAGCATGGTGGTGCATCCCTGTAATCCCAGCTCCTACTCTGGAGGATGAAGCAGGAGAATGACTTCAACCCAGGAGGTGGAGGTTGCAGTGAGTGGAGATTGCATCACTGCACTCCAGCCTGGGTGACACAAGGAGACTCCGTCTCAAAAAATAAAAATAAGAAATGCATAAATATAATAAAACACACACGAATGACAAAGGCACCTGAATTCCAATCATCATTTTTCTATTTCTCTATAATTACTTCTTTGATCCTTTATCTTATCCATTAGGCAATGAGCCTAAAACCTCTTCCCTATTTGGCTTTCTGTGAGCATGAGATCACATAGAAAATGTGAAAGCCCACTGAATCCTCCAGCACGGATCCTGGAATAGAGAAAGTGCTCTGTTCATCGCAAAAAAAAACTTGCCCACTCACCCAAATCCCCCACCTCACCCCTACTTCCAATCACCTGTGGAGATTCAGATAGACCATGGGGAGGAAACATTAATACTCCTTGGAGTGAGTCCAGATCTTGGAATCAGAGATCAGCGACAGCACTAGCTCCTGTTCCCCTTTCCTACTAATTCACAGGAGGACAGGTGGTATTGAAGCAATAGATGGTGGAGGGGGTGGTCCTTCCCCCAGCCTCTCGGGTAGAACAGCAGCCTAACATGTGTCTCCCGAGATCACAAAGAGCAGCACATTTCACACGGGCTTCAACACTATTTTCTGGCTGTTTGACATAAGAGAATCTTGCTTCGCTATTTTTAATCGTGATTTCACCTTTGTTTCCTTTCCTTGGTGAATGCAATTTGTTTGACTCAAGAATGCTGTGGATGTAGAAATCCTAAAGCACATTCGCTGTGTATCAATCCCAGTGCAGTCTTCCCAGAGAAGACTCTAAACAAATCCTGGACTGCACCTGGGCCTATGCCAATTCCTATCACTCACCGTCACTCCAGGGAGACAGAACACACAGAGAATACGTTACATAGGCAGGTTCATTACTAACAGATAAGCAGTGAGTGACAACAGAAGCCTGCATTTCAATGTGAGCCAGTCCCTCAAGGCTCAGAAAAGCTGCTCGGGACATATGGAGTCACCCCATTTGCAGTGTAACTGGGGGAAGCCAGAAAGCAGCCCAGCCTGGGTTTTGTACCCTGGAGCCACAGGAAGCACTCAGCTAAAGCACTGCATGACGTCCTCCTCCAGGAAGAACAGGAAGACAGCCCAGGCTGTTCTGAGACATTCCTCCTGATCTCAGGATGTTGCTATCTTAGTCCATTTTTGTTGCTCTAAAGGAACACTTGAGCCTGGGTAACTTCTAAAGAAAAGAGATTGGTTTGCCTCACAGTTCTGCAGGCTGTACTGGAAGCATGGCACCAGAATCTATTTCTCGTGATGGCCTCAGGCTGCTCCCACTCTGGCAGAAGGGAAGGAGGGTCTGTCTGTGCAGAGACCGCAGAGATCACACGGCAAGAGAGAGAGTAAGGGGGAGAGGGAGCGATGGAGCTTCCAAGCTCTTTTTAACAACCAGCTCTCCAGGAACTAACAGAGGGGGAACTTGCTAACCCCGTCTCCTTGGGACAGCATTGGTCTGTTCATGATGGATCCACCTCCATGACCCAAACACCTCTGAAGAGGCCCAACCTCCCACAATGGGGGTGAAATTTCAATGTGAGGTTTGAAAGGGTCAAACATCTCAACTAAAGTAGTTGTATCCTCAGCACGTTCTATGGTTACTATGAGAGCTATAATTGAGAAAGCAGGGGAAAGCTAGGTCTCCCGCCATTTGGGTGCTTGTCCTAAAGAGACGTTGTATGTGGTTACCTGCCAATCAAGAAATGCGAGACAATTCATAAAGAGGAACTGCTATGATTAGCTTCTTATTGGTGTCTCCTCTTCTTCCAGGTAACCCCAGACACCTACATGTTCTGATTGGGACCTCAGTGGTCAAAATCCCTTTCACCATCCTCCTCTTCTTTCTCCTTCATCGCTGGTGCTCCGACAAAAAAAGTAAGTCTCACGAAGCAGAGGCCAGAGAGCTCAGGGCCATGTGGGGAAGCAGGATGGGAGCACGCGGATGTGTGTTCCTCACCAGCAGGATGGTCCCTGGCCCAAGACAGGAGCCACAGAGGCAGGACTTTCTAGAGAGAGCACCAGATTCCCTTCCCCTGCCTTCAGCTCACAGACCATTGCCTGATTCTGAACTGTATCCTCACGTCCCCTGCAGCCACTCACATCCAGGAGAAGGTTCCATGACAGGCAGAAAGTGGGAGATAGAATCAATGGGATGGGACCTCAGAGCTATTCATGGGATGGGTCCTTGAACTCAGAGAGATAGAATGTCTGAGTCTGCTGTTGGCAACTGAGGGACCTCAGGCACCTATGGCCTCCCCCTGTTTGTTGGTATCTGCTTATGAAATGAGGACCCAGAAGTGCCCTCCGAGCTCTTTTGTTGACTTCCGTCTTCTACAGATGCTGCTGTAATGGACCAAGAGCCTGCAGGGAACAGAACAGTGAACAGCGAGGTAGGTGCTCCTCGGCCCAGCCTCGTGGCTAGTCTTATTCCCAAAGAGTCCTGAAAAATGTGAGCACCCTCCCTCACTCAGCATTTCCCTCTCTCCAGGATTCTGATGAACAAGACCATCAGGAGGTGTCATACGCATAATTGGATCACTGTGTTTTCACACAGAGAAAAATCACTCGCCCTTCTGAGAGGCCCAAGACACCCCCAACAGATACCAGCATGTACATAGAACTTCCAAATGCTGAGCCCAGATCCAAAGTTGTCTTCTGTCCACGAGCACCACAGTCAGGCCTTGAGGGGATCTTCTAGGGAGACAACAGCCCTGTCTCAAAACCGGGTTGCCAGCTCCCATGTACCAGCAGCTGGAATCTGAAGGCATCAGTCTTCATCTTAGGGCATCGCTCTTCCTCACACCACGAATCTGAACATGCCTCTCTCTTGCTTACAAATGTCTAAGGTCCCCACTGCCTGCTGGAGAGAAAACACACTCCTTTGCTTAGCCCACAATTCTCCATTTCACTTGACCCCTGCCCACCTCTCCAACCTAACTGGCTTACTTCCTAGTCTACCTGAGGCTGCAATCACACTGAGGAACTCACAATTCCAAACATACAAGAGGCTGCCTCTTAACACAGCACTTAGACACGTGCTGTTCCACCTCCCTTCAGACTATCTTTCAGCCTTCTGCCAGCAGTAAAACTTATAAATTTTTTAAATAATTTCAATGTAGTTTTCCCGCCTTCAAATAAACATGTCTGCCCTCATGGTTTCGGTAACGAGACTCTTTTCTTGCCTAAGGCTTCCGGTGTTATCATTACCATGTCCACATAACCCCATCTGTTCTCCATTGGGTTCTCAGCCCTGGACTCTGAGCTTCTGGAAGCAGAATGGAGCCTGATTTGTCTCTGAGACTCCAATTTCCATCCAAAGATACAGCACATAGGAGGCTCCAAGGATCGTGAATCACATGAACAAGTGATATTCTTACTCTCTGCAGACCTGGAAAGCTGGCAGAGTCATTCCACGATGAAACATTTGTAGAGTCATAGGCCTTGTTAGCCTCATCTCCACGGGGACACATATCAACATATCATCTTTCATAATATAAATATACAGTCGGTCCTCCATATCTGTGGGGTTTACAGGTGTTTATTGAACCAACAATAAATCAAAAATGTTTTCAGAAAAAAATCCCCGAAGTTTCAAGAAGCAAAAAACTATGTTGAATCGACACAAATTGAGTGGCGTGTAGGCTGTGTCAGGAATTATAAGTAATCAAGAGATGATTTCATGTATACAGGAGGATGTGCATGGGTTCTATGCAATTACTATGCTATTTTTTTTTTTTGAGACAGTCTCACTCTCTCACCCAGGCTGGAGTGCAGTGGCATGATCTCAGCTCACTGCAACCTCCGCCTCCCAGGTTCAAGCGATTGTCTTCCCTCAGCCTCCCCAGTAGCCTCCCCTAGGATTACAGGCACGTGCCACCATGCACAGATAAATTTTTTTGTGTGTGTATTTTTAGTAGAGATGGGGTTTCAGAATGTTGGACCAGCTGGTCTTGAACTCCTGACCTCGTGATCTACCCAACTCAGCCTCCCAAAGTGCTGGGATTACAGGCGTGAGCCACGGTGCCCAGCTTCGCTATGCCATTTCATGCAAGGGGCTTGAGCATCTGCAGATTTTGGTATCTGAATGGGGATCCTGGAACCAATCACCCAGGAATAGTGAAGGACCACAGTATATAATTTTTATTTGTCAATCTTAAAAATAAAGCATAAAAAGTTTACAACAACAAGATAAAAAATAAGAAGTGTTTTTATAGTGTGAGGATAAGTTTAGATTTATTTTTTCCTACGTGTAACCCTATGGTCCTGTGTTATTTATTGAGAAAATATTCTATTCCACCTTAAACTACATGGCAGCCTTTGTCAACTATGAAGGGACTGTGTATCCACAGATGTATTTTAGACACAGTTTTCTGCCCAGTGGTTCTCTGTATCCCCTCTCATGAGGATGCTGCATTTCATATAAACTTATAGAACCCCTTAAAATTTGGTAACCTGAGTTCTCTGATTTGTTATTATAGGTTATTTAGTTTGCTTTTTTTTTTCTTTCTTGAGACAGACTCTTCCTCTGTCACCCAAGCTGGAGTTCAGTGGCTTGAGCTCAGCTCACTGCAGCCTCCGCCTCCCAGGTTCAAGCAATTCTCGTGCCTCAGGTTTAGTACTAGAAACTCATCAGGAAAATTAGAATGGCTTTTTGTCACAATTACTCTGATAATGTTAATAATACCTCTTAGATATTTTGCACATTACACATGAAGAAAAGTTTGAATCTCAGATAAAAACAAAAATACATCAAAAGTCTTTAATGTAAGCACAGAATTCAATCACCTCATGTGTGAGAGGTTGGATCTGAGACGTCTTTTGAGTCTGGTCATAGTGAAGGATGCAAGGTGGCAATTGTAGTCACAACAATTTCCAGGAAGCCATGTTCCGCTCTTGAGCGAGCACCCACTGGGCCTCATGCAAGGTAGAAAGAGCCTGCGTACGTCACCCTCCCATGATGTGGTCAACATGTAAACTGCATGGGCAGGGCGCCAAATAACATCCTGTGCGCTGCTGAGCTGAGCTGGGGCGCGGCCTCCTGTCTGCACCGGCAGCACCATGTCGCTCACTGTCGTCAGCATGGCGTGCGTTGGTGAGTCCTGGAAGGGAATAGAGGGAGGGAGAGTGGGGATGGAGATCTCGGCCTAGAGGTAAAGATATGGGCCTGGAGTGGAGATATGGGCCTGGAGTGGAGATATGGGCCTGGGTGTGGAGATATGGGCCTGGAGGTGTAAATATGGGCCTGGAGTGGAGATATGGGCCTGGAGGGGAGATATGGGCCTGGGTGTGGAGATATGGGCCTGGAGTGGAGATACGGGCCTGGAGTGGAGATATGGGCCTGGAGTGGAGATATGGGCCTGCAGGTGGAGATCTGGGCCTGGAGTGGAGATATGGGCCTGGAGTGGAGATATGGGTCTGATGTGGAGATATGGGCCTGGAGTGGAGATATGGGCCTGGAGTGGAGATATGGGCCTAGAGGGGAGATCTGGGCCTGGAGTGGAGATATGGGTCTGATGTGGAGATATGGGCCTGGAGTGGAGATATGGGTCTGATGTGGAGATATGGGCCTGGAGTGGAGATAGGGGCCTGGAGTGGAGATATGGGCCTGGAGTGGAGATCTGGGCCAGGAAGTGTTGATCTGGGCCTGGAGCCTGGGTCTCTCCACAGCTGAGAGCCCTGTTCTTGGCAGCAGGTAGCAGGGAGGCTAAGTTTACCTTCAGCCCAGCAAGGGCCTGGCTGCCAAGACACACAGTGCAGTGGGGGCAGCAGGGTGCCCTGGTTTGCCTGCAGTTGGATCGTCTATCATGATCTTTCTTTCCAGGGTTCTTCTTGCTGCAGGGGGCCTGGCCACTCATGGGTGAGTCCTTCCCCAAACCTTAGGGTGTCATCTCCCCACATAAGAGGATTTTTCTGAAACAGGAGGGAAGTCCTGTCGGGGAGTCTCTCATAAACTAGGAAGAGGGGACCCTTGGATACTCGGCCCACATTTCTGACCTCGCCCTCCCCGGCCTTTCTTTCCCTTTCCTGAGTCAAGCTCTGTGAAGACTGGGGTGAGACTGGGGTGCTCCAAGCTGGGGTGTGCAGGGAGGAAGTGGTGTCAGCAGCAGAGAAAGAGAGGGAAGCAGTGCTAGGAACAGCAGGTCCTCTGAGGACAAAGGTATAACTGACACCCTCCAGCGTTTCCGTGACGGTAGGGACTGCAGTGTGGCTGCGGTCTTTCTACCAGAAGAGGGGGGAAACCACAGCCATGGCCCTGACATTCCAAATCCTCTGAGGGGGCTCAGTTCATGAATTGGCTGATATTCCATTCACATAGGACATGCCCTCCATGCCGTGTCTACTTTGTGTTGTTTTATGTGAGTAATTTTGCAGTATTAAAATCTAGTAAGAGTCACTTATTCAGCACTTGCTCAAAGTTCTCAGCTGACACTTGTTGTAGGGAGACGCCATGTCTATGTGGGGTGGGTCCTTCCTGTAGCCCTGGGCACCCAGGTGTGGTAGGAGCCTTAGAAAGTGGAAATGGGAGAATCTTCTGAGCACAGGGAGGGAGGGGTGGCTCCACATCCTCCTCTCTAAGGCAGTGCCTCCTTCTCCCCCAGGTGGTCAGGACAAACCCTTCCTGTCTGCCCGGCCCAGCACTGTGGTGCCTCGAGGAGGACACGTGGCTCTTCAGTGTCACTATCGTCGTGGGTTTAACAATTTCATGCTGTACAAAGAAGACAGAAGCCACGTTCCCATCTTCCACGGCAGAATATTCCAGGAGAGCTTCATCATGGGCCCTGTGACCCCAGCACATGCAGGGACCTACAGATGTCGGGGTTCACGCCCACACTCCCTCACTGGGTGGTCGACACCCAGCAACCCCCTGGTGATCATGGTCACAGGTCAGAGGCTTTCTGTCTGGGCTTCTCACTGTCCCACCTCCTGAATCCCAGAGCTTCTGGTGGGGGTGTCCATCAGGGTCCCATCACCCAGGCCCCAACTGTATTTGGGGTCAAGGGGGATTGAATACAGGGGAAATGGGCGCTGTGGTGGGAAGAATAACTGTCGCCAATGATGGCTACATTGTAAACCCTGGAGCCTGTGACTATTTATGTTATAGGGCAGGGGACTGAAGGGGAAGGTGGAGCTCAGGTTGTTGATGAGTTGACCTTGAGATGGGGAGACAGCCTGGACTGTCCTGCTGGGCTCAGTGTAATCACAAGGGTCCGCGTGAGAGGTGGAGGAAGAGGGGAGTGGGGATTAGAGCAGTGTAGTGGGAGGGAGACGCTATCAGCCACTGTGGGCTTTGAAGGTGGAGGAAGGCCACTAGTCACAGAATGCAGGTGGCCTCTAAGGGCTGGAGAAGTCAAGAGAACTGATTCGCTGAGTCTCCAGAGGGAACGCAGCCCTGCAGATGCCTTGATTTCAGCACAGGGAGAACTGGATCCAATTTCTGTCCCCAGAAGTGGAAGGGGTCAGTGTGTTCTCTCCTGCTGCCATGTTTGTGATAATTTTCTGCAGCAGCAACAGGAAACCGACACAGGAACCCAGGTCAAGGACAAGCTAGGAAACCAAACAAGGATAGCCAGGTGTGGTGGTGGGCACGAGTAATCCAACGACTGGGGAGGCTGAGGCAAGAGAATCACTTGAACCGGGGAGGCAGAGGTTGCAGTGAGCCAAGACAACACCACTGCACTCCAGCCTGGGTGAAAAAGTGACTGTCTCAAAAATAAATTAATTAATCAATTAATTAAAGAAACCAAACAAGGAGAAGGTTGGCTACCGTGGGATCAGCAAGGGTGGGATGCTGATGCCACCACCAGGCTCCATCCACATAGGAAGGGGTTGATGCTCCTGGAACCAGCACCAGGGACCACCCTATGGAAGCTGGGGCCATGGAGAAGGCACAGACATGGCAGGAGAGGCTCCCAATCCCCATCAGGAACAGGGTGTGTGGACACTGATGTCTGCCTTACTGATGAGTTGATACCTCTGCCAGAGACTCCAATTTGTTCAAAAGAGATTGATTCAGGCTGCTGAGAGCCTGGACATGCAGCCTGTCCTCTTCCACCCCCACATAGACAGCAGGAAAGAGACTAGTGGGAAAGAGATACAACAGCCCAAGAGATGAGGCTCTCTTCACAGTGGGAAGGGAGTCAGGGGCTACTGGAGACAGAGGGACAGAGAAGAGGGAGGAAGACAAATGGAGGGACCTGCACCAGGGGATATGGGCACAGAAAAGACACGGAGACACAGAGAGGGAGGAGAGAGACAGACCTCTGGGAGGGGAACCCTCACTCATTCCAGGTGCCATGGATGGGATGATAAAGAGAGATGCCTTCTAAACTCACAACTTCTCTTTCTAGGAAACCACAGAAAACCTTCCCTCCTGGCCCACCCAGGGCCCCTGCTGAAATCAGGAGAGACAGTCATCCTGCAATGTTGGTCAGATGTCATGTTTGAGCACTTCTTTCTGCACAGAGAGGGGATCTCTGAGGACCCCTCACGCCTCGTTGGACAGATCCATGATGGGGTCTCCAAGGCCAACTTCTCCATCGGTCCCTTGATGCCTGTCCTTGCAGGAACCTACAGATGTTATGGTTCTGTTCCTCACTCCCCCTATCAGTTGTCAGCTCCCAGTGACCCCCTGGACATCGTGATCACAGGTGAGAGTGTCCAGACATTCTTCTCATTGTCATTGGGACACAGAGTGAATGATCCAGGACTTGGAACCCCCAGGTGGTCATGAGGAAGATAAGCGTGAGATTCTTATGGAGAGAGACTGACTCGGTGAGGTCTGTACCAACAGAGACAGGGAAACAGGAGACATAAGTACAGACCAGGTGTCATAACAGAGGACAGACACAGGGGCCATACGGGGAAGTAGAAAAGAGAGAAAGAGGTAAAGGAGACACTCAGACAGACAGACATGTGCCAGAGAGAAGTGTCCTTCCATGCTGACTTTGCTCAGAGACCTGGCACAGGTTAGAAGTTTCATTTCTGTTTTGTCTCCACAAAGTGCTTCTACGAGGAGAACCCAAGGACACCCATATTTCTGACCTGAGTTGGGCCCTGTGGCCTCAGGCCTTGTGGCATCTACAGATGCCATGTTTATTCTGACACCTCTGCCTTCCATGCAGTGGAGCCATAATTATCCCAGGATATCATGGCCCCAGAACACCAACCCCTAAATACTGTGTGTACTTGGTGTCCCCAGACTAGATTCTGAGGCTCATATTCCAAATAATCCTACATATAATAGGATCACTGAGAGACACAGAGATAAATCAGGGACTTCAAAAAGCAAAGGCATAAACACACAGAGAATGAGCCAGAGGAAGGGGATTGAGAGACTCACAGACACACAAAAAGAAAGAAAAGAGGGCAGAGGAGTGGAGAGAATGCTGGAAGGGAGGAGAGAAAAGCCCCAAAATCAGAACCCTGAGGGAGGGGCACAAAGACAGAGAAAGATAAAGATGTGGGGATGGATTGCAGAGATTCCAAATAGAACTAGAGAGACTGAGAGGCAGAGAAAGACAAGGAGATGGAGAGAGACAGATGATAGATGGATAGATAGATATAGATAGATGATAAATAGGTAGATGATAGATAATGGATAGGTTATAGATACATAGATGATGATTGATAGATGATACATAGAGATGATGATGATGATGATGATGAAGATAGATAGATAGAAGACACATATATAAATATATAGATACATAGATGATACATAGAGACTGACAGGCAGACAGAGAGGTAATAGAGAGAGAGAGAGATGATACATAGATACAGATAATACATAGATGATTGATGGATAGACAGATAGACAATTGATAGATAAATGATACATAGATATAGATGACAGATAATTTGTAGATAGACACAAAATAGATAGATAGATAATAGATAGAAATATGCAGAAAGTTATGAACAAGACAGAAAGTGAGAGACTCAGAATTATAGAAAAAGGAAGATCAAGTCAACCAATCCAAGGAGAGTCAGAGAGAATAAAACAATCCAAAAAGGGAAAGCATACCCAGGGGTGGGGAAGTGAGGTCAGAGACCTAGAGAGACAGAGAAGGCGGAAGGAGGAAATAGACATGAAGAGAGTTGGGGTGGAGGGTGAGAGAGAGAGAGAGCATTAGGTCATAGAGCAGGGGAGTGAGTTCTCAGCTCAGGTATGAGGGGAGCTGTGACAAGGAAGAACCTCCCTGAGGAAACTGCCTCTTCTCCTTCCAGGTCTATATGAGAAACCTTCTCTCTCAGCCCAGCCGGGCCCCACGGTTCAGGCAGGAGAGAACGTGACCTTGTCCTGTAGCTCCTGGAGCTCCTATGACATCTACCATCTGTCCAGGGAAGGGGAGGCCCATGAACGTAGGCTCCGTGCAGTGCCCAAGGTCAACAGAACATTCCAGGCAGACTTTCCTCTGGGCCCTGCCACCCACGGAGGGACCTACAGATGCTTCGGCTCTTTCCGTGCCCTGCCCTGCGTGTGGTCAAACTCAAGTGACCCACTGCTTGTTTCTGTCACAGGTGAGGAAAACCCGTGTCTGTCCCATGTCTTATGATCCTAGAGCCATAGCTGAGGAGCTTCCTGCCGATGATGGGGAGAAGCATGGACAGATGCAGAGAGAACACGAAGACTGGGTGTGAAGGGGGGGTCAGGGTGCAGGATGGCAGACAGGGCACCTCCAAACCCTCTTGCATGGCCTGCATGGAGGCCCATGGTCAGGGCTCCAGGCACCCAGGCAGATGGAGAAAGCGGTCAGGACAGACCCAGAGAAGGGGAGACTGGGCTCAGTTTGGGGAGATCAGAGGTTCCCTCAGCCCCTCAACCTTACCCATTTCCCAGAAGCCCATCCTGGCCTCTCACCCACACAGAGAGATGTCATCACCAGCAACCCCTACACTCTTTTCTTTTCATTTTCAAAAATATTTATTGAGGTTAAATGTAACTATATAATTTACCAACTTTACCATTTTTAAAAGTAAAATCTAGTGGTCATAAATACCTTTATATGCTGGGTGTGGTGGTTCACGGTTGTAATCTTGGCGCTTTGAGAGGCCAAGAAAGGTGGATCATTTAAGATCAGGGACTCGAGATCAGCCTGGCCAACATGCGGGAAATTCATCTTTACTAAACAGACAAGAAAAATTAGCCAAGCATGCCGGCATGCACCTGTAGTCCTAGCTACTTGGGAGGCTGAGGCAGGAGAAGCACTTAAAGCCAGGAGGCAGAGGTTGCACTGAGCCGAGATCATGCCACTGCACTGCAGCCTGGGAGACAGAGAGAGACTCTGTTTCTAAATAAATAAATACATCTATATTCTTTTTTTTGTTACCCTCCACCCTTCCCTTCCTGGCCTCTGGTATCCACCATTCTATTCTCTACCTTCATGAGATCCACCTTTTATCTCCTGCATGTGGTGAGAAATGGGAATCTTTGTAATGACCTCCAGTTCCATCCATGTGGCTGCAAATGACAGGATGTTATTGTTTCTATGGATGAGTAGTCTCCACCGTGTGTGTGTACTACAGTTCTCTATCCATTCACCCACTGATAGGCAGGTAGGTTGACTCCACATCTTGGCTACTGTGAACAGTGCTGGAACAGTCATATGAGTGCAGATATCACTTCGATACACTGATGTCCTTTCCTTTGGATATAAACCCAGTAGTGAAATTGCTGGACACTATGAAAGTTCTCTTTTTTTTTTTTCTTTTTTGAGAAAGAGTTTCCCTCCTTAGTCCAAGCTGGAGTCAAAGTGGTGCGATCTTGGCTCATTGCAACCTCTGCTTCCTAGGTTCAAACGATTCTCCTGACTCAGCCTCCCTAATAGCTGTGATTACAGGTGCACGCCACCATGCCTGACTAATTCTTGTATTTTTTAGCACAGACGGGATATCCCAATTTTGGGCAGGCTGCTCTCAAACTCCTGACCTCAAGTGAGGTGCCTGCCTCGGTTTCCCAAAGTGCTGAAGTTACAGGCATAAGCCACTATGCCCAGCCTCCTTTTAGTTTTTTAAAGTTTTTCCATACTTTTCTCCATAATAGTTGTACTAATTTACATTCCTACCAACAGGGTACCAGGGTTCTCCTTTCTCTACCATCTTGCCAGCATTTGTTTTGCCTGTCTTGCAGATAAAAGCCATTTTACTTTATTTATTTATTTATTTATTTATGTTGAGATGGAGTTTCACTCATAGTCGCCCAGGCTGGAGTGCAAGGGTGTGATCTCGGCTCACTGCAACCTCTGCCTCCCGCGTTCAACTGATTCTCCTGCCTCAGCCTCCAAAGTAGCTGGGATTACAGGCATGTGCCACCACGCCTAGCTAATTTTTGTATGTTTAGTAGAGAGGGAGTTTCTCCATGTTGGTCAGGCTGGTCTCCCGACCTCAGGTGATCCGCCCACCTCCGCCTCCCAAAGTGCTGGAATTACAGGCGTGAGCCACCGGCCTAAAAGGCATTTTAATGGGATGAGATGAAAACTCATCGCGATTGTAATTTACATTTCTGTGATGATGAGTGATGCTGAGCACTTTTTCATATACGTGATCGCCATTTCTATGTTTTGTTTGTGGAGAAATGTCTCCTCATGTCTTTTGCTCGTTTTTTAATTAAATTGTTTTATTGAGTTGTTTGAGCTTCTTATATTTCCAGTTATTAATCCCATCTCAGATGAATAGTTTGCAAATATTTGCTCCTATTTTGTGGGTTGTCTCTTCACTTTGTTGGTTTATCTTTGGTGGTGCAGAAGTTGCTTGGTTTGATGTAATCCTAATGGTCTATTTTTTGCTTTGATTACTTGTGTTTTGAAGGTTTTAAACAAAATGTCTTTCGTCAGACAAATGTCTTCCCCATTATTTTCTTCTACATGTTTCATAGGTTCAGGCCTTAGACTCATGTTTTTAATCCATTTTCATTTGATTTTTGTGTAAGGTGACAGGTATAGATGCAGTTTTATTCCTCTGCATGTAGATATCCAGTTTTCCCCACACCATTTATTGAAGACTGTCCTTTCTTGATTGTAAGTTCTCGGCACCTTTGTCAAAGTCCATTAAATGGGCTGGGCATGGTGGCTCACACCTGCAATTCCAGCACTTTGGGAGGCCGAGGCGGGTGGATCACCTAAAGCCAGGAGTTCAAGACCAGGCTGGCCAACAGAGTGAAACCTCGTCTCTACTAAAAATACAAAAATTAGCTGAGCATGGTGATCAGTGCCTGTAATACCACTACTCAGGAGTTTGAAGCAAGAGAATTTCTTGAATCCAGGAAGTGGAGGTTGCATTGAGCTGAGATTGCACCTCTACACTCCAGCCTGCATGACAGAGCAAGATTCCATCACACACACACAAAAGAAAGCCATTGGATGTAAATGCATGGATTATATCTGTGTTCTCCATTCTGTTCCATTTTTTATGTGCCTTTCTTTATGCCAATGTCATGCTGTTTTGCTTACTACAGCTCTGTAACATATTTCTAAGTCAGGTAGTGTGATGCTCCTGTTTTCTCTTTATACCTTCAAGTCTCAAGACAGTGGGCATCGCACACAAAAATTATGGAGAAAAGGATCCCAAGACTCCCAGGGTCCAACATTAGATAACAGAGTGTTGGCCATGAACCAACCTCAAAGATTTCCATTGAGTAGAGGACAAGCACCCTCATTTCCTCACATCTCTCCTGTCCCGTGTTCTAGGAAACCCTTCAAGTAGTTGGCCTTCACCCACAGAACCAAGCTCCAAATCTGGTGAGTAAAGGACCCCTCTTATCTCTGCTTTTGGAAACCTGGGGAGGTGGAAGCCTTGGATGCAAGTGTTGGCTCAAACCTCCCAGCTCTGTGAATGAGGGCCTGTCTTCCACCATCTCTGAACTCCAGACACTCCAACAGTGAAAGGGATCTAGGGCCACCAAAGGGCTCAGCGAAGTCTCTTTACCTTTAATTTCCTGCAGGTGAGACCTCCTACAAGCTAGAAGAATAATTGCCAATCTGACATCCTTCTCAGGAAAAATGCAGTGTTTTTTCTGCCTGCATTCCTAACTGGAGGATAAATTCCCGGGGGCTTGAGAGAGGGAAGGGAAGGGAACATCTGATGAGGGTGGGTGTTTTAGAGAAGTTCCACTTGCCAAGGAATGAATTACTGTTGGTCATCAGGCAACCCTGGCTGACTCAGCAGAGCAAGAGCCTTGCCGTAACAGAGAACAGAGCTCATGCACGCACACTTCGACTCACTGACTCATTCAGCCACAGCCCCATGCTCAGGCTGTGCAGTGTGGAAGCTTTTCCTATTGTTGCCATAACAAATTTCCACAAGATTCGTGGGTGAAAACAAAACGGTTATTTAATTATCTTACAGTGCTGTAGCTCAAAGCATGACGTGCATGTCACTGGGCTAAAATCAAGGTGACAGCAAGGCTGCCTTCCCTCTGAGGGTTCCAGGCAAGAATCTGCTTCTCACTTTTCTCAGCTTCTAGAGGCTCCCATGTTCCTTGGCTCCTGGTACCCTTCCTCCTTCCTCAAAGCCCACAAAGACTGGTCACATCTCACATGGCATCACTCAGACCCTTCTTCCTTACCACACCTCTTTCTCTGAATGCTGCTCTCCCTTCTTCCCCTTCTTTTGAAAACTTGGGGATTCTATTGGGTTCACCAAGATGAAAATCCATCATAATCTCCCGGAAATCATCCAGGATACCCTCCTTTTAAGTTCAGCTGACTAGCAACCATAATTCCATCTGCAATCTTCATTCCTCCTTTCATGTAAAATAACATATTCACAAGCTATGGAGGCTAGGACATGGACATTTTTGGGGTGGGACAACATTCTCCTGCCTTCCACAAACAGTGAACAAGATGCATTTGGCCTCTGTTCTTGGGACACTGATCTTGCAGATGGTTAAATGGGAGGGCAGAAAATGTAGGCACAAGGGGACCAATAAATGAATGATCTATTGAGAAGCATCTGTGCATGAAATCTATTTATTTATGTATTTACCTACTTGTTTATTGAGACGGAGCCTTGCTCTGTCGTCCAGGCTAGAGTGCGGTGGCATGATCTCGGCTCACTGCAACCTCCACCTCCTGGGCTGAACGGATCTCCTCCCTCAGCCTCTCCAGTAGCTGGGATTACAGACCACAACCACCACGCCCGGCTAACTCTTTTTGCATATTTTCTGTAGAGAGGATGTTTCACCATGTTGGCCAGGCTGGTCTCAAATTCCCAACCTCAGGTGATCCAATAGCCTCTGCCTCCCAACACGCTGGGATAAGAGGCATGAGCCACGGGGCCAAGCCAAATTTTCAAATCAATAATAGATAATGCTGAGTGTATGATTTCAGGTGACAGAGAAGTTCTCACTAATCAGATATTTGTGACATTAATGAAAAACACGGATTGAACCCCTGAAAGATGGGCGGAAGGATTTTGCACACACAGCTGTCAGCCGTGAAGGCACAAAGGTGAAAATAATCTGATGTTGAAGGAAGAGGCTCTGCCTCAAATGCTGGGAATGACGTGGGGAGAATGACAAGACGACTGTAGAGAGACGGAGAGCACACTGGGTACACAGGAAACTAAGGAGCAACAAGGAGTGTGTGTTTGACACTCACAGCCATTGGACTCACCTCGGGGTAACCAGGAATCCCTACATGATTAATATGACTGACATGAAAATAAGGGAGGCCCAGGTGCGTAACTGGAATCTAGGAGACCGTGGAAAAGGCAATTCCCGCCCCACTGGTGAAATGTGGTGCTGATTTAGACACTAAATGAATGAAGTAGATGGATATAAGATATGTTTGTGAGGTAGAATCATTGGCTGGAAAGGCTTGCTGGGTTTGATTTTTTCCTGGTAGTTTAATCCTCGCTTCACTAACTTATTTCTGAGATTTATTTCTCCTGCATCTAAATCAATACCTGGCAGAGGAGGGAGAGCTAGATGAGGGGTGGTGCAAATGAAGGGACCTAGTATAGCATAATATACAAGGCTGTGAACGGTGGCTCACGCCTGTAACCCAGCACTTCAGGAGGCCAACGCGGGTGGATCACATGAAGTCAGGAGTTCGAGACCAGCCTGGCCAACATGGAGAAACCCTATCTCTACTAAAAATACAAAAATTAAACAGGCATGATGGTGGTGCATGACTGTAATCCCAGCTACTCTGGAGGAGGAAGCAGGAGAATGACTTCAGCCCTGGAGGCAGAGGTTGCAGTGAGTGGAGATCGCGTCACTGCACACCAGCCTGGGCTACACAGGGATACTCTGGCTCAAAAAATAAAAATAAAAAATACATAAATATAATAATATACACAAATGATGCAGGCACCTGAATTCCAATCATCATTTTTCTATTTCTCTATAATTACTTCTTTGATCCTTTATCTTATCCATTAGAAAATCAGCCTAAAACCTCTTCCATATTTGGCTTTCTGTGAACATGAGATCATATGGAAAATATGAAAGCCCCCTGAACCCACCAGCACAGGCCCTGAAATAGGGAAAGTGCTCTGTTCATCACAAGAAACTTGCCCCCTCACCCAAATCCCCCACCTCACCCCTACTTCCAATCACCTGTGGAGATACAGATAGATCATGGGGAGGTAAACGCTAATACTCCTTGGAGTGAGTTCAGATCTTGGAATCAGAGATCAGCACCAGCACTAGCTCCTGCTCCCCTTTCCTACTAATTCACAGGAGGACAGGTGGTTTTGAAGCAATAGATGGTGGAGGGGGTGGTCTTTCCCCCAGCCTCTCAGGTGGAACAGCAGCCTAACATGTGTCTCGCGAGATCACAAAGAGTAGCACGTTTCACATGGGCTTCATCATTATTTCCTGGCTGTTTGACATAAGAGAATTCTACTTTGCTTTTTTGATCTTGATTTCACTTTTGTGTCCTTTTCTTGGAGAATGTAATTTGAGTCAAGAGGGTTGTGGATGTAGAAACTGTAAAGCACATTCACTGTGTATCAATCCCAGTTCAGTCTTTCCAGAGAAGACTCTAAACACCTGCTGTACTGCACCTGGGCCTATGCAAATTTCTATCACTCACCGTCACTCCAGGGAGACAGAACACACAGAGAATACGTTACATAGGCAGGTTCATTACTAACAGATAAGCAGCGAGTGACAACAGAAGCCTACATTTCAATGTGAGCCAGTCCCTCAAGGCTCAGAAAAGCTTCTCGGGACATATGGAGTCACCTCATTTGCAGTGTATCTGGGGGAAGCCAGAAAATAGCCCAGCCTGGGTTTCGTACCCTGAAGCCACAGGAAGCACTCAGCTAAAGCACTGCATGACGTCCTCCTCCAGGAAGAACAGGAAGACAGCACAGGCTGTTCTGAGACGTTCCTCCTGATCTCAGGACGTTGCTGTCTTAGTCCATTTTTGTTGCTATAAAAGAACACTTGAGCCTGGGTTACTTCTTTTTTTTTTTTTTTTTTTGTATAGTGCTTCTGATGAGCTTTTTTTTTAAATTTTTATTATTATTATACTTTAAGTTTTAGGGTACATGTGCACAATGTGCAGGTTAGTTACATATGTATACATGTGCCATGCTGGTGTGCTGCACCCATCAACTCGTCATTTAGCATTAGGTATATCTCCTAATGCTATCCCTCCCCCCTCCCCCCACCCAACAACAGTCCCCAGAGTGTGATGTTCCCCTTCCTGTGTCCATGTGTTCTCATTGTTCAATTCCCACCTATAAGTGAGAACATGCAGTGTTTGGATTTTTGTCCTTGTGATAGTCTACTGAGAATGATGATTTCCAATTTCATCCATGTCCCTGCAAAGGACATGAACTCATCATTTTTTATGGCTGCATAGTATTCCATGGTGTATATGTGCCACATTTTCTTCATCCAGTCTATCATTGTTGGACATTTGGGTTGGTTCCAAGTCTTTGCTATTGTGAATAGTGCCACAATAAACATACGTGTCCATGTGTCTTTATAGCAGCATGATTTATAGTCCTTTGGGTTTATACCCAGTAATGGGATGGCTGGGTCAAATGGTATTTCAAGCTCTAGATCCCTGAGGAATCGCCACACTGACTTCCACAATGGTTGAACTAGTTTACAGTCCCACCAACAGTGTAAAAGTGTTCCTATTTCTCCACATCCTCTCCAGCACCTGTTGTTTCCCGACTTTTTAATGATCGCCATTCTAACTGGTGTGAGATGGTATCTCATTGTGGTTTTGATTTGCATTTCTCTGATGGCCAGTCATGGTGAGCATTTTTTCATGTGTTTTTTGGCTGCATAAATGTCTTCTTTTGAGAAGTGTCTGTTCATGTCCTTTGCCCACTTTTTGATAGGATTGTTTGTTTTTTTCTTGTAAATTTGTTTGAGTTCATTGTAGATTCTGGATATTAGCCCTTTGTCAGATGAGTAGGTTGCGAAAATTTTCTCCCATTTTGTAGGTTGTCTGTTCACTCTGATGGTAGTTTCTTTTGCTGTGCAGAAGCTCTTTAGTTTAATTAGATCCCGTTTGTCAATTTTGGCTTTTGTTGCCGTTGCTTTTGGTGTTTTAGACATGAAGTCCTTGTCCATGCCTATGTCCTGAATGGTAATGCCTAGGTTTTCTTCTAGGGTTTTTATGGTTTTAGGTCTAACGTTTAAGTCTTTAATCCATCTCAAATTAATTTTTGTATAAGGTGTAAGGAAGGGATCCAGTTTCAGCTTTCTACCTATGGCTAGCCAGTTTTCCCAGCACCATTTATTAAATAGGGAATCCTTTCCCCATTGCTTGTTTTTCTCAGGTGTGTCAAAGATCACATAGTTGTAGATATGTGGCATTATTTCTGAGGGCTCTATTCTGTTCCATTGATCTATATCTCTGTTTTGGTACCAGTACCATGCTGTTTTGGTTACTGTAGCCTTGTAGTATAGTTTGAAGTCAGGCAGCATGATGCCTCCAGCTTTGTTCTTTTGGCTTAGGATTGACTTGGCAATGCAGGCTCTTTTTTGATTCCATATGAACTTTAAGGTAGTTTTTTCCAATTCTGTGAAGAAAGTCATTGGTAGCTTGATGGGGATGGCATTGAATCTATAAATTACCTTGGGCAGTATGGCCATTTTCACGATCTTGATTCTTCCTACCCATGAGCATGGAATGTTCTTCCATTTGTTTGTATCCTCTTTTATTTCATTGAGCAGTGGTTTGTAGTTCTCCTTGAAGAGGTCCTTCATATCCCTTGTAAGTTGGATTCCTAGGTATTTTATTCTCTTTGAAGCAATTGTGAATGGGAGTTCACTCATGATTTGGCTCTCTGTTTGTCTGTTATTGGTGTATAAGAATGCTTGTGATTTTTGTACATTGATTCTGTATCCTGAGACTTTGTAGAAGCTGCTTATCAGCTTAAGGAGATTTTGGGCTGAGACAATGGGGTTTTCTAGATATACAATCATGTCATCTGCAAACAGGGACAATTTGACTTCCTCTTTTCCTAATTCAATACCCTTTATTTCCTTCTCCTGCCTAATTGCCCTGGCCAGAACTTCCAACACTATGTTGAATAGGAGTGGTGAAAGAGGGCATCCCTGTCTTGTGCCAGTTTTCAAAGGGAATGCTTCCAGTTTTTGCCCATTCAGTATGATACTGGCTGTGGGTTTGTTATAGATGGCTCTTATTATTTTGAGATACGTCCCATCAATGCCTAATTTATTGAGAGTTTTTAGCATGAAGTGTTGTTGAATTTTGTCAAAGGCCTTTTCTGCATCTATTGAGATAATCGTCCGGTTTTTGTCTTTGGTTCTGTTTATATGATGGATTACATTTATTGATTTGCATATATTGAACCAGCCTTGCATCCCAGAGCCTGGGCAACTTCTAGAGAAAACAGATTTGTTTGCCTCACAGTTCTGCAGGCTGTACTGGAAGCATGGCACCAGCATCTGTTTCCTGTGACGGCCTCAGGCTGCTCCCACTCTGGCAGAAGGGAAGGAGGGTCTGTCTGTGCAGAGACCACAGAGATCACATGGCAAGAGAGGGAGCAAGGGGGAGGGCGAGCGATGGAGCTTCCAAGCTCTTTTTAACAACCAGCCCTCCGGGAACTAATAGAGGGGGAACTTGCTAACCCCATCATGTGGGGCAGCATTAATCTATTCATGATGGATCCACCTCCATGACTCAAACACCTTCCCATAGGCCCAAACTTCCACACTGGGGGTTAAATTTCAATATTTCAGTGTGAGGTTTCAAAGGGTCAAACATCTAAACTAAAGCAGCTGTATCCTCAGCATGTTCTATGGTTTCTATGAGAGCTGTAACTGAGAAAGCAGGAGAAAGCTGGGTCTCCCGCCATCAGGCTGCTTGTCCTAAGGAGATGTTCCATGTGGTTACCTGTCAATCAAGAAATGAGACAATCCATAAAGAGGAACTGCTATGATTAGCTTCTTATTGGATTCCCATCTTCCTCCAGGTATCTGCAGACACCTGCATGTTCTGATTGGGACCTCAGTGGTCATCTTCCTCTTCATCCTCCTCCTCTTCTTTCTCCTTTATCGCTGGTGCTCCAACAAAAAGAGTAAGTCTCACGAAGCAGAGGCCAGAGAGCTCAGGGCCATGTGGGGAAGCAGGATGGGAGCACGCGGGTGTGTGTTCCTCACTGGCAGGATGGTCCCTGGCCCAAGGGAGGAGCCACAGAGGCAGGGCTTTCTAGAGAGAGCACCAGACAACCTGCCCCTGCCTTCAGCTCACAGACCATTGCCTGGTTCTGAACTGTATCCTCACATCCCCTGCAGCCACTGACATCCAGAAGCTTCCATGACAGGCAGAAAGTGGGAGACAGAATCAATGGGATGCCAATTGAGAGCACTTCATGGGATGGGGTCTTGAACTCAGAGAGATAGAATGTCTGAGTCTGGATGTTGGCAGCTGAAGAGCCTCAGGCACCTACAGCCTCCCCCTGTGGGTTGGTGTCTGCCCATGAAATGAGGACCCAGAAGGGCCCTCCAAGCGGTTTTGATGACTTCCGTCTCCTACAGATGCTGCTGTAATGGACCAAGAGCCTGCGGGGGACAGAACAGTGAATAGGCAGGTAGGTCCTCCTCGGCCCAGCCTCACGGATACAGTCTTATCCCTAATAGTCCTGAAAAATGTGAGCACCCTCCCTCACTCAGCATTTCCCTCTCTCCAGGACTCTGATGAACAAGACCCTCAGGAGGTGATGTACGCACAGTTGGATCACTGCGTTTTCATACAGAGAAAAATCAGTCGCCCTTCTCAGAGGCCCAAGACACCCCTAACAGATACCAGCGTGTACACGGAACTTCCAAATGCTGAGCCCAGATCCAAAGTTGTCTCCTGCCCACGAGCACCACAGTCAGGTCTTGAGGGGGTTTTCTAGGGAGACAACAGCCCTGTCTCAAAACCAGGTTGCCAGATCCAATGAACCAGCAGCTGGAATCTGAAGGCATCAGTCTGCATCTTAGGGGATCGCTCTTCCTCACACCACGAATCTGAACATGCCTCTCTCTTGCTTACAAATGCCTAAGGTCGCCACTGCCTGCTGCAGAGAAAACACACTCCTTTGCTTAGCCCACAAGTATCTATTTCACTTGACCCCTGCCCACCTCTCCAACCTAACTGGCTTACTTCCTAGTCCTACTTGAGGCTGCAATCACACTGAGGAACTCACAATTCCAAACATGCAAGAGGCTCCCTCTTAACACGGCACTTACACACTTGCTGTTCCACCTTCCCTCATGCTGTTCCACCTCCCCTCAGACTATCTTTCAGCCTTCTGTCATCAGTAAAATTTATAAATTTTTTTTATAACTTCAGTGTAGCTCTCTCCTCTTCAAATAAACATGTCTGCCCTCATGGTTTCGATAATGTGACTCTTTATTCGCCAAAAGTTTCCAGTGTTATCATTACTATGTCCATATAACCTGATATGTTCTCTACTGGGTTCTCAGCCCTGGACTCTGAGCTTCTGGAAGCAGGGTGGAGCCTCATTTGTCTCTGGGACTCCAATTTCCATCCAAAGATGCAGCACATAGGAGGTTCCAAGGATCGTGAATCACATGAACAAGTGATATTCTTACTCTCTGCAGACCTGGAAAGCTGGCAGAGTCATTCCAAGATGAAACATTTGTAGAGTCATAGGCCTTGTTAGTCTCATCTCCACAGGGACACATGTCAACACATCATCTTTCATACTATAAATATACAGTCGCTCCTCCATATCTGTGGGGTTTACAGGTGTTTATTGAACCAAATATAAATCAAAAATATTCAGAGAAAAAATCCACAAAGTTCCAAAAAGCAAAAATACTATATTGTGTGGACACAAGTGAGGTGGTGTGTAGGCTGTATCAGGAATTATAAGTAATCTAGAGATGATTTCATGTATACAGGAGGATGTGCATGGGTTATATGCAAACGCTGTGCCATTTCATGCAACAGGCTTGAGCATCTGCAGATTTTGGTGTCTGGTAGGGAGGGGGGTTTCCTGGAACCAATCACCCATGAATAGTGAAGGACTA
This sequence comes from Homo sapiens, assembly GCF_000001405.40. Taxonomy (NCBI): domain Eukaryota; kingdom Metazoa; phylum Chordata; class Mammalia; order Primates; family Hominidae; genus Homo; species Homo sapiens. The sequence goes on from NT_187675.1 coordinate 238,112, forward strand.
CTGTATATAATTTTCATTCATCAATTTTATAAATAAATCATCAAAATGTATGATAATAAGATAAAAAATTAGCAGTGTTTTTATGGTGTGAAAATAAGCTTAGATTTATTTTTTCCTGCTTGTAACCCTCTGGTCCAATGTTATTTACTGAGAAGACATTCTATTCCACCTTAATCCGCATGGCAGCCTCTGTCAACTATAAAAGGACTGTGTGTACACAGATGTATTTTACACACTCTTTTCTGCTCAGTGGCTCTCTGTGTCCACTCTCATGAGGATGCTGCACTTTATGTGGCCTTATAGAACCCCTTAAAATTTGGCAGCCTGAATCCTCTAATTTCTCCTTCCTCTTTAAGATTGCCATTATTATTATTATTGGCTATTTGCTTTTCCATGTAAATTTGTAATCATTTTTCTCATTTCCACCAAAAACAATGCTTGTAATTTTGTTGTGACTCCCTTACATCTACAGGTAAGTTCTGTCCTATAGAAACATAATGCAAACCACATGCATTCTTTCAAACTTGCTAGTATCCAAATTAAAAAGCTAACAAGAAACAGATAAAATTAATTTAAGTTAACCCAATGGACCCAAAATATTATTAACCCAACAGACCCAAAATATTAACCTAATAGATCCAAAATATTATTTTATTATACAAGTAGACTCAAAATATTATCATTTCAACATGTAATCATGTGTCATCTTGGAAAACATCAGATCCCTGTCTAGGTGGGCAAAGATTTTTCTTCGTAATATCTCATTTCCACATTTCCACTTGGCACAGAAACTGCCCCCAAGGCTCAGGATACTAAGATGCAGTAGGAATGGGTAGATGTATCTGGAGGAAAGTGACTGAATGAAATTGAGACATCAGAGTCTGGGGAACTCACTAGAACTACAGGGACAGTGTGGGGGAGGGAATTGGGAGATGTTGATCAAAGGATACAAACTATCAGGTATTCAGGAGGAATGGGTCTGAAGATCTCTTGTACAGCTTTGCCACTATGGTTGACAATACTGTACTCTATACTTGAAATTTACCAGGAAAGTAGATTTTTTTTTTTAAATATGGAACACTTCACGAATTTGCGTGTCATTCTTGCGCAGGGGCCATGCTAGTTTTCTCTGTATCGTTCCAATTTTAGTATATGTGCTGCCGAGGCAAGCATGGGAGAGTAGATTTTTTTTTTTTTTTTTTTTTTTTTTGAGCTGGAGTCTTGCTCTGTCACCCAGGCTGGAGTGCAGTGGCGCGATCTCGGCTCACCGCAAGCTCCGCCTCCTGGGTTCACGCCATTCTCCTGCCTCAGCCTCCCGAGTAGCTGGGACTACAGGCGCCCGCCACCACGCCCTGCTAATTTTTTGTATTTTTAGTAGAGACGGGGTTTCACTGTGTTAGCCAGGATGGTCTCGATCTCCTGACCTCGTGATCCGCCTGCCTCGGCCTCCCAAAGTACTGGGATTACAGGCATGAGCCACCACGCCCGGCTGGGAGAGTAGATCTTAAGGGTCCTCACCACAAAAAAAAAAAAAAGAAAGAAAGAAAAAGAAACCATAGGCCGGGCGCGGTGGCTCACGCCTGTAATCCCAGCACTTTGGGAGGCCAAGACGGGCAGATCACTTGAGGTCAGGAGTTCAAGACCAGCATGGCCAACATGGTGAAACCCTGTCTCTACTAAAAATGCAAACATTAGCCAGGCGTGGTGACACAAGCCTGTAATCCCAGCTACTCAGGAGGCTGAGGCACGAGAATTGCTGGAACCTGGGAGCGGAGGTTGCAGTGAGCCAAGATGGCACCACTGCACTCTAGCCTGGGGGACAGAGTAAGACTTCCTCTCAAAAAAAAAAAAAAAAAAAAAACAATAACCCTGCGAGATGATGGATATAACTAGCTTGACTATGATGATCATGTCACCATGTATACATACATCAAAACATCAAGTGTAATACACCTTAAATATATACAATTTCCATTTGTCAATCATATCTCAATAAAGCTAAAAGAAACCTCTAAGTTTCAACTTTATTTTCAGAAAGCTGTGCCATGCTTACCTCAGTGCCTAAGTATACTCTAATTCATGGAAATGGCCTTTAAAACTGCAGAGAGTGGCTGGGTGCAGTGGCTCACGCCTATAATCCCAGCACTTTGGGAGGCGGAGGTGGGCAGATCACGAGGTCAGGAGTTCGAGATCAGCCTGGCCAACATGGTGAAACTCTGTCTCTACTAAAAATACAAAAAATAGCTGGGCATGGTGGCAGGTGCCTGTAAATCTGAGATACTCAGGAGGCTGAGACAGGAGAATCGTTTGAACTGGGGAGGCAGAGGTTGCAGTGAGCCGAGATCCTGCCATTGCACTCCAGCCTGGGCGACAGGGTGAGACTCCATCTCAAAAAAAAAAAAAATACTGCAGAGAGTTAAGGCCCTCACTGGACACTCTCCGGTACCTCTGAGGTCAGTGGATAGAGAAGCAGCTCCCCTTCTTCTTCCTCGAAACAAAGGCCTCCTTCCTTCTTAGGTGTTTGAGACAAATTCTCCACACAGGTGCAGCTGAGTGCTGTAAAGTCCCACTGAGAGTTGAAGGTCCCCACTGCCAGTCACAGTTCGGTCCCACTGAGGGTTGAAGGTCCCCACTGCCAGTCACAGTTTGGTCCCATTGAGGGTTGAGAGTCTCCACTGCCAGTCACAGTTTGGTCCCATTGAGGGTTGAGAGTCTCCACTGCCAGTCAGTTTGGGCTTATTAGGGTTTATGCTGTGCACGGAGAATGGAACCTACCAATCAACTCTTAGTGACCAGTTAGACAGATTCAAGGCAAATTTCCCTGCTGGGAAATCCCAAATCCCAAAATATGCAGAGACCAATAGATGCCTCAATTCTTCCGTGTCTCCGTCTAAATCCTTGGGTCACTGTGACTCCTGTAGTTATGTGGCTTGTAATTCCTTGGGCCGTAGAATGGCTATGATAGGCCCTGTGCTAAGGGGACTGGTGACAGTTGAGACAGGAACATGGAAGCTATAGTAGTCAGGGTTCTCCAGAAAAAAAAATAATCAACACTAATAATGATAGATATATAGATAATGATTGATAGACAAATAATGATAGATATATAATGATATCACAAATAATGATAGACATATAGTTGGATAATGACAGATATATAATGATTGATACACAGATAGGGTATTTATATATTGGCTTATGCAACTATGTAGACTGACAGGTCCCATGATCTGCCATCTGCAAGCTGGAGACCCAGGGGAGTCCACGTGTAGTTCCAGTCTACGTGCAAAAGTCTGAGAACCAGTAGAGTTAGTGGTATACGTAACAGTCCAAAAGCTAGCAGGCTCATGCCGGGCATGATGGCTCACGCCTGTAATCCCAACACTTTGGGAGACCAAGGCAGGCAGATCACCTGAGGTCAGAGTTCAAGACCAGCCCGGCCAACATGGTGAAACCCCATCTTTACTAAAAATACAAAAATTAGCCGGGCATAGTGGCATTCGCTTGTAATCCCAGCTACTCAGAGGCTGAGGTACGAGAATTGCTTGAACCCAAGAGGTGAAGGTTGCAGTGAGCCGAGATCATGCCACAGCACTCCAGCCTGGGTGACAGAGTGAGACTCTATCTCAAAAAAACAAACAAACAAAAAAAGCTGGCAGGCTTAACATCTAAAGAGTCAATGTTTTAGTGAGAGTTCAAGAGCCAGAAAAGACTGATGTCCAGGCAAAAGGAACTTCATCTTACATTACCAGTTCAATGTTTTGTTCTATTCAGGTCCCACCTGATTGAATGAGGCCGACTCACATTAGGGAGAGCAATCTGCTTTATAAATTACACTAATTCCATTGATAATCTCATTCAGCAACACCCCCACAGACACACACAGAATAATGTTTAACCAAATATCTCAGCACCCCATGGCTACGTTACCATTCCTGTTCCACAAAAGGAGGAAACAAAAGAACAAAACCACACCAAATGTTGTGGTAAGTTGACAAAATCTGTTCCAGCCCATTAGTAAATATTGGCCACTGAAGTTCCTGAAATTCAACAATTAGTAAGTATCTCTCTCCCAATAGAAAGCCACGTCATTTGTAAACCATAACAATAGCTTTTGTTTTTTTGAGACACAGTCTCGCTCTGTGTTGCCCAGGCTGGAGTGCAGTGATCTTGGCTCACTGCAACCTCTGCCTCCTGGGTTCAAGTGGCTCTCCTGCCTCAGCCTTCCGAGTAGCTGGAATTACAGGCACCCGCCACCACACCCAAGTAATTTTTTATATTTTTAGTAGAGACTGGGTTTCACCACATTGACCAGGCTGGTCTTAAATTCCTGAACTCAAGTGATTCACCTGCCTTGGCCTCCCAAAGTGCTGGGATTACAGGCATGAGCTACTGCACCCAGCCAACAATAGTATTTTTAATTAGGTCATCCTGCCTTTACAATCTCTGCATTTTAAATACTCAACTAAGAGTACAGCCATTATTTGTCTTTCACCCAAAGTCCCATTCAAGTGAGAACAAAGGAATGAATAAATAAGGCATAAGTAACAAAACAACAAAAAAAGAAAATTAGAATGCGGTCAATTTCATGCAATCATCAACACCAAATTTCCAGAACGTAGTATTTCCAAATTTCCCGAACGTAAATATGTATGTGGAAATTAACAAAATGTGGCAAAACAAAAGGTCACTTAAATTTGCACAAATGAAACAGTCAACATGGAAGCTGATCGGCTTTCTGAAATATGGGACAAGCTCAGGACTTCAAAATACTTCGGCGTTGGAAGGGCTAAGTTATGATGTATTAAAATGAAAATAAAGTGGGGCGCGGTGGCTCACGCCTGTAATCCCAGCACTTTGGGGGACCGAAGTGGGTGGATCACGAGGTCAGGAGATCGAGACCATCCTGGCTAACACGGTGAAACCCCGTTTCTACTGAAAATACAAAAAAAATTAGCCGGGCGTGGTGGCGGATGCCTGTAGTCCCAGCTACTCGGGAGGCTGAGGCAGGAGAATAGCATGAACCCAGGAAGTGGAGCTTGCAGTGAGCTGAGATCACGCCACTGCACTCCAGCCTGGGCGACAGAGCAAGACTCCGTCTCAAAAAAAAAAAAAGAATAAATAAAATAAAATAAAATAGTAGAAGGTTTAATTAGGAATATTTCACTCTCCATACCTGAAGAATTCGTGATAGCCAGGAGTCTACAATCAAAATAACATAAATAATAAGATAAAAATAAAATTAATTTGAAGCCATAAAAAAAGAATGAGTTCATATGTTTTGTGGAAACATGGATGGAGCTGGAGGCCATTATCCTTAGCAAACTATACAAGAACAGAACACCAAATACAGCAGGTTCTCACTTATAAGTGGAAGCTAAATAATAGAACTCATGAACACAAAAAAGGGAAAAACAGACAATGGGGTCTCCTTTAGGGTGGAGGGTGGGAGGCGGGAAAGGAGCAGGCAAAGTAACTATTAGGTACCAAGCTTATTACCTAGGTGATGAAATAATCTGTACAACAAACCCCCATGACACAAGTTTACCTGTATAACAAACCTTCCCATGTACCCTTGAACCTAAAATAAAAGTTAAAAAAATACTCAATGAGCAACAATGTACATTATTTGAGGATAATTATATTAAAAGCCCAGACTTCACCACTACACAAAATATCCACGTAATAAAATTTCACTTGCGCTCCTTAAATTTATACAAATAAACAAAAAAGTATAATAAAATAGTAGATTCTTTCTTTAGAGATGACAAATAGTGCCAGAGAAAATGCCTCCACACTCTGGCATTGAGATCATCTCCAGGATAAGGGTATACTGCATGCCTGGTCAAGTCCAAGTAAATATACTCAGACCATGAATCTCAGAGATGAAACATAGGTTCAGAACAGACAAAGCCACAGAGCTTTTGACTAATGGCCCAGTGAAGGCAATGTCTGCCTGTATGGTATCCACCACCTTATATTCTGTCCCAAGCCCGTCTATTTGGATGTAGCATCTGGTTCAAAGATGAATTTGAACACCATTAGACACTGGCTTAATGAAAATTCACTTCTCATTCGTTTCTCATCTGAAACATAAATAGAAATATAGGTCTTAGGCAGGAGGATTTCTTGATGCCAGAAGTTAGAGACTACCCTGGCCAACATAGAAAGACCCCATCTCTATTTAAAAAAATATACATATATATGTCTTCTCTTGGGCTCCACCCAAGAGCAACCTGGAACTAAGTTATTCGGCAACGAACTGTTCCACTTTGTTGTGAGGCAATAGATGTGGAAATTCCCTGACGAGGGGCTCTGTCCTCATACTTCCTGCGGAGCTTATTGTCGTAAGAATATCTGTCATCCTGCTAATGTGCATTGAAAGGAGAGCAACGGGGCTGAGGCCGTGTCAGCACGATGGACCCCAAACAGACCACCCTCCTGTGTCTTGGTGAGTTTCAGAGTAAAAGTGGGTTAGAGGGGAAGATAGAGAAATCCCAAAATAATCAGGGTGTCTCTTAACAGTGTGACTAGGAGATTTTAGTGGCTGCCAAGGAGATTCTGATCTCCTTAGTGGAAAGGCCGTCTTTGTCAATGTATCTATAACTTTGTCTCTACCCAAGCCCAAGCTAGCTTGTGGGGCTCAAGGTTTAATATTTGTATTAAACCTATAGTGTGTTATCTGGGATTCATGATGGTCCCAAGGTTCTTATCAAGGAGAGACTTAGAGGCTGGAATCTGAAAGGTAAAAATAAAGAATGAACCTCAAAACTGTGATTGTTGTGGAAGGAAAACATATGATAGAACCCCATATAGAAATATGGTTACTAGTATTTTGTTGAAGATTTTTGCATTTATGTTCAACAAAGATATTATCCAGAAGTTTTCTGTTTTTGTTGTATCTCTGCCACATTTTGTTATCAGGATAATGTTGGCCTCATAGAATGAGTTGGGGAGGAGTCCCTCCTCCAGGATTTTTTTCAATAGTTTCAGTAGGAATAATACTAGCTCTTCTTGGCCGGGCGCAGTGGCTCACACCTGCAATCCCAGCACTTTGGGAGGCCAAGGCAGGCGGATCACAAGGTCAGGAGATCAAAACCATCCTGGCCAACATGGTGAAACCCTGTCTCTACTAAAAATACAAAAAAATTAGCCAGGCGTGGTGGCGGGCGCCTGTAGTCCCAGCTACTCGTGCGGCTGAGGCAGGAGAATGGCATGAACCTGGGAGGCAGAGCTTGCAGTGAGCCAAGATCATGCCACTGCACTCCAGCTTGGGCGACACAGCGAGACTCTGTCTCAAAAAAAAAAAAAAATGCCAGCTCTTCTTTATATATCTGGTGGGATTGAGCTGTGAATCCATCTGGTACTGGTCTTTTTCTGGTCTGTCATTACAGAGGGTGATTTGTCGTAAAGGTTGGAAATGGAAGCTTGATTTTTCATAAATCTCTCTCTTCCAGTGCTCTGTCTGGGCCAGAGGATTCAGGCACAGGAAGGTAAGTGTCCTGTAAATCTCTCCCAGCCCCTTTAGACCCTCTTGGGAGCTCTAGGATAAAGAAATTGAAGAATAGCCTGAAGCACCATTCTTATTTTAATCCCCATTCTAGTTGTTTCTGCTGTGCTTCTCTTGCATAATTTCTATCTCACTTTGTTATCTCCAAACCCTTCAGACTCATTAATGCTCAGGCCTGGATTTATAGTTAGTCCTTGCCTGTGTTAGACTGTCCATGAAGGATCTGTAATTTACTGAATGCTCAAACTGCAAGAATGAGGAAGTCAGGAGTCATCTGCCCAATATCCTTCCTTATGCTGATTCTATTTTGTTTTAGCAACCCACTTCCTCCCGTCACTTCATTTAAAAGGATGCTGCCATAGTCTAACCCTACTGAACACTCTAGCATTCTGTAGTACTACTGCAGTACTAAGCATGAGGCAGTCTTAGTGTACTACTGAATATTCTGCCACCCCAACTACTACTGCCTTAGCCTCCTAATGGGTGTGAGCCCCACGTCCATCCATGTCTTCTCTCTTCCAGCTCCTTCTAAAGCCTGAATTATTTGTGTGTTGAACAATACTCATTCTTCCTATCCATGAGCATGGAATGTTTTTCCATTTGTTTGTGTCATCTATGATTTCTTTGACCAGTGTTTTGTAGTTCTCCTTGCAGAGATCTTTCACCTCCCTGGTTAGCTGTATTCCCAGGTATTTTATTCTTTTTGCAGTAATTGTGAATGGATTCTATTCTTGATTTGGCTCTCAGCTTAGATGTTTTTGGTGTATAGGAATGCTACTGATTTTTATATATTGATTTTGTATCCTGGAACTTTGCTAAAGTTGTTTATCAGATTAAGAAGTGTTTGGGCAGAGACTGTGGTTTTCTAGGTATAGAATCATATCACCTGCAAACAGGGATAGTTTGACTTCCTTTCTTCCTATTTGGATGCCTTTTATTTCTCTCTTGCCTGATTGCTCTAGCTAGGACCTCCAGTACTATGTTGAACAGAAGTAGTGAGAGACGGCATCCATGTCTTTTGCCAGTTTTCAAGGGGAATACTTCCAGCTTTTGCCCATTCAATATGATGTTGACTGTGAGTTTGTCATACATCATTCTTATTATTTTGAAATATGTTTCTTCAATGCCTAGTTTGTCGAGGTTTTTTAGCATAAAGGGATGTTGAATTTTATCAAAAGCTCTATTGAGAGGATTATGTGTGTGGGGAGGGTTGTTCTATTTATGTGATGAATCATATTTAAGATTTGTGTATATTGGCCGGGCACTGTGGCTCATGCCTGTAATCCCAGCACTTTGGGAAGCCAAGGCTTGTGGATCATGAGGTCAGGAGATCGACACCATCCTGGCTAACACGGTGAAACCTCGTCTATACTAAAAAACACAAAAAAATTAGCCAGGCGTGGTGGTGGGCACCTGTAGTCCCAGCTGCTCGGGAGGCTCAGGCAGGAGAATGGCGTGAATCCAGGAGGCGGAGCTTGCAGTGAGCCAAGTTCACGCCACTACACTCCAGCCTGGGCAACAGAGCGAGACTCCTATATCGAATCAACCTTGCATCCCAGAAATAAAGCCTACCTGATGGTGGTGGATTAGCTTTCTGATGTGCTGCTGGATAGTTTGCTAGTATTTTGTTGAGGATTTTTGCATTTATGTTCAACAAGGATATTGTCCTGAAGTTTTCTGGTTTTGTTGTGTCTCTGCCATGTTTTTGCATCAAGATGATGCTGGTCTCATAGAATGAGCTGGGGAGGCATTCCTCCTCCTGAATATTTTTGGAACGTTTCAGTAGGTATAGTACCAGCTCTTCTTTATATATCAGATGGGATTCAGCTGTGAGTCTGTCTGGTACTGGGCTTTTTCTGGTCTGTAGGATTTTTATTACTGATTCAATTTTGGAGCTCATTATTGGTCTGTTCATGTATTCAATTTATTCTTGGTTTGATCTCAGGAGGGTGTATGTGTCCAGGAATTTCTCCATTTATTCTGGATTTTCTAGTTTGTGTGCATAGAGGTGTTCATAATATTCTCTGATGATTGTATTTCTGTGGGGTGAGTGGTAATATACCCTTTGTTGTTTCTAATTGTGTTTATCCGGATCATCTCTCTTTTCTTCTTTATTAGTCTAACTAGTCATCTGTCTTACTAATTTTTTCAAAAATTCTACTCCTCGATTTGCTGATCTTCTGAATGCTTTTTCGTGTCTCAATCTCCTTCAGCTCAGCTCTGATTTTGGTTATTTCTTGTTTCCTATGAGCTTTGGGGTTGATTTCCTCTTGGTTCTCTTAGTTCCTCTTGTTATGATGTTAGGTTGTTAATTTGAACTTTTTCTAGCTTTTTGAAGTGGGAGTTTAGTGCTATAAACTTCCCCCTTAACACTGCCTTAGCTGTGTCCCAGAGATTCTGCTATATTTACCCAAAAATTCCAGAACAGACTGCTTAATTTCCATGCATTGTACAGTTTTGAGTGGTTTTCTTAGTATTTATTCCTATTTTTATTCCACTGTGCTCTGATTTCGCTTTTCTGGATTTGCTAAGGATTGTTTTTTTTTTTTTTGAAATGGAGTCTTGCTCTGTCGCCCAGGCTGGAGTGCAGTGGCGCAATCTAGGCTCACTGCAAGCTCCGCCTCCCAGGTTCACACCATTCTCCTGCCTCAGCCTCCTGAGTAGCTGAGACTACAGGTGCCCGCCACCCCGCCCGGCTAATTTTTTTTGTATTTTTAGTAAAGACGGGGTTTCACTGCGTTAGCCAGGATGGTCTCGATCTCCTGACCTCATGATCCGCCAGCCTTGGCTTCCCAAAGTGCTGGGATTACAGGTGTGAGCCACCGTGCCCAGCCTGCTAAGGATTGCTGTATGTCTGATTGTATGATTGACTTTAGAGTATGTGCCATGAGGCAATGAAAACAATGTAGATTCTGTTGTTTTGGGGGTGGAGAGTTCTGTAGATGTCTGTCAGGTCCATTTGATCCACTGCTGAGTTCAGGTCCTGAATATCTCTGTTTGCCTCAATGATCTAATACTGTCGGCGGGATGTTAAAGTCTCCCCCTATTATTGTGTGGTTGTCTAAGTCTCTTCGTTGGTCTCTCAGAACACGCTTTATGAATCCGGGTGCTTCCATGTTAGGTGCATATATATTTAGGATAGTTAGGTCTTCATGCTCTTTTTTTAATTTTTTTTTTCTTTTTCTTTTTGATTCAGCAGTTGGGCTATTACACACTCCTTAGCAGATTCCGACTTCCGTGGCCACTGTCCTGCTATGGTCTTCATGTTGAATTGAACCCTTTACCATGATTTAATGCCCTTCTTTGCCTTTTTTGATCTTTGTTGGTATAAAGTCTGTTTTGTCTGAAATTTTAATAGCAGCTCCTGCATTTTTTTTTTTTTTTGGCTTTCCATTTGCTTGGTAGATTTTTCTCCATTTCTTTACTTTGAGCCTATGGATGTCATTGCATATGAGATGGGTTTCTTATAGGCAGCATAATGTTGAGTCTTGCTTTTTTTTTTTTTTTTTTTTTTGAGATGGAGTCTCACTCTGTCACCCAGGCTGGAGTGCAGTGGTATGATCTTGACTCACTGCAACTTCTGCCTCCCAGGTTCAAATGATTCTCCTGCCTCAGCCTCCCAAATAGCTGGGATTACAGGTGTGTACCACCACGCCCAGCTATTTTTTTTTTTTATTAGAGATGGGATTTCATCACATTGGCCAGGCTAATGTCGAACTCCTGACCTCAAATGATCCACCCACCTCAGCCTCCCAAAGTGCCAGGGTTACAGGCGTGAGCCACTGCACCTGGCCTCTTGCTTCTTTATCCAACTTGCCACTCTCTGCATTTTAATTAGGACAATTAGTCCATTTACATTCAAAGTTAGCATTTACATGTGCAGATTTTTTCCTGTCATCATGTTGTTAGCTGGTTTGGTTATTATGCAGACTTGTTTGTGTGGTTGTTTTATAGTGTCACTGGTTTATGTACGTAAGTGTGTTTTCTATTGGCTGGTGATGGTCTTTTCTTTCCATATTTAGCGTTCCTCTTAGGACCTCTTGTAAGGCAGGCCTGATGGTAATAAATTCCCTCAGCATTTGCTTGTCTGTAAAGGATCTTATTTCTCCTTCACTTATGAAACTTAGTTTGGCTGGGAATGAGATTCTTGGTTGGAAATTCTTTTCATAAGAACATTAAATATAGGCCCCCAATCTCTTCTGGATTGTAGAGTTTCTGCTGAAAGGTCTGCTGTTAGCTCGATGGCATTCCCTTTGTAGGTGACCTGCCCCTTCTTTTTTGCTGCCTTTTCACATTTTTTTTTTTTTTTTTGAGACTGAGTCTTGCTCTGTTGCCCAGGCTGCCAGGCTGGAGTGCAATGGCGTGATCTCGGCTCACTGCAAGCTCCGCCTCCCGGATTCACGCCATTCTCCTGCCTCAGCCTCCCCAGTAGCTGGGACTACAGGTGCCCACCACCACGCCCAGCTAATTTTTTATATTTTTTTAGTAGAGATGGGGTTTCACCATGTTAGCCAGGATGGTCTCAATCTCCTGACCTCGTGATCCGCCCGCCTTGGTCTCCCAAAGTGCTGGGATTACAGGCGTGAGCCACCGCGCCCGGCCGACATTTCTTTCTTTCATTTCTACCTTGAAGAATCTGATGATTTTGTGTCTTGGGGATGCTCTTCTTGTGTAGTATTTTGCAGGGGTTCTCTGTTTCCTGCATTTGATTCTTGGCCTCTCTAGTGACGTTGGGGAAGTTTTCATGAACAATACACTGAAATATGTTTTCCATGTTCCTTGCTTTCTCCCCATCTCTTTCGGGGATGCCAATGGGCTATTTGGTCTCTTTTCATGATCCCATATTTCTTAGAGGTTTTGTTCATTAATTTTTATTCTTTTTCTTCATTTTTGTCTGACTGAATTAGTTCAGAGAGCCAGTATTCATGCTCTGAGATTCTTTCCTTATTTTGCTTTATTTTGCCATTAATACTTGTGATCGCATTATGAAATCTCGTAGTGTGTTTTTCAGCTCCATCAGATCCGTTTGGTTCTTTCAAAATGACCATCTCATAGATTAGCCCCTCTGTCATTTTATTGTAATCTTTAGGTTCCTTGCATTGGGTTTCAACTTTCTCCTGAATCTTGATGACCTTAATTTCTATCCATATTCTGAATTCTATTTCTGTCATTTCAGCCAGGTAAAGAGCCCTTGCTGGGAAGCTTGTGTGGTAATTTGGAGGAAGGAAGACACTGTTGCTTTTTGAGTTGATGGAGTTCTTGCTCAGTTCTTTCTCATCCATGTGGGCTAATGTTCCTTTGAGTGTGCTGCAATTTGAATTTTTTTCTTTTTTCTTTTAACCGTGATGTAATTTGAGCACAGTCAGTAGACTTCTTTTCTGGATGGTTTCAGAGGGCTGGGGCTTCGCACAGGGTCTTTATTTATAGCTAAATTCTTGTCCTTGGTTTCACAGGGAGGTATATTAGCGAGCATTTTTGGTGTTGAAGTTTGGGCTGCAATCCGGTAAATGATGCTTCAGCACAACGGCCAGTAGGTCATTCCTCATGATTGCCGCTGTGCTCCCTCTCACGCTCTGAAAGTGCGGGCTCCTCTCCCACCCAAGTGCTGGCTGCAGATCTGGGCTCGGCACTCCCAGGCTGCACATCACAGCTCTGGGGTGAGCTCAGACTTTATGTTCCCTCCGTGGCTTGGGGGCAGCAGGGGAAGGGACCTTAGCAGCGGTTGTGGCAGACGGCCTTTCACTTGTCCCTTGGAACTCCACCCCAGAGAGATGTGGAGCCACTATCAGTGCGATGAGCCAAGAGTGAGGCGACTGCACTGTGGGTCCAAGCTAGGGGCCCTGCCTAGTGATGAGCAGGGGGGACAGGTGGGTCACAGGGGTGACAGACTGGCCTCTTCTCCTTAGGGCAGTTTGCCGGAGGTGTGGTTGAAGCACTCAGAGTCTTTGCTCCTTCCCCAGTCTGAGGGCAGCAAGGCCAGTACCACCGCAGTGGCAGCGGCAGAGTGACCTTCCGTTGCCTCTGGGAGCTCCGCCACAGAGAAACGCAGACTCACAGCTGCTGGGAACGCTCCGCCAGAGGGTGGGGCTGTTGTGCCGCGGAATCAAGCTGGGGCTTGTTGAAGAGCAGGGGGTTGAGGGCTCACAGGGAGAGGAGACTGAGCTCCTCTCCGTATGGCGACTGCGGTGTGCTGGAAGCATGAATGAAGGCCGGGCGCGGTGGACTCACGCCCGGAATCCCAGCACTTTGGGAGGCCGAGGCGGGCGGATCACGAGGTCGGGAGATCGAGACCATCCTGGCTAATCTGGTGAAACCCCGTCTCTACTGAAAACACAAAAAATGAGCCGGGCGTGGTGGCGGGCGCCTGTAGTCCCAGCTACTCGGGAGGAGGATGAGGCTGAGGCAGGAGAATGGTGTGAACCCGGGAGGCGCAGCTTGCAGTGAGCCGAGATCGGGCCACTGCACTGCAGCGTGGGCGACAGAGCGAGACTCCGTCTCAAATAAATAAATAAATAAATAAATAAATAAATAAATAAATAAATAAATAAATTGAAGCATGAATGAAGGCCCCAGGCTCCTTGCTTCTTCCCCAGATCACGGGCAGCAGAGGCAGAACCCTTGCCATGGCAGTGGCAGAGGGGCTGTCAGTTGCCTCTGGGAGCCACTCCCCAGGGAAACACGAGCCACCACCAGTGAGTGTGCTGAGGGCGGGGCAGCTGCTCTGCACTCCCGAGCTGGGGGCTCTGCCTGGTAAAGTGGGGGTGGGAGCTCACGGGGAAGAGAGACTGGACTCCTCTCTGTCTGATGGCTGTGGCATAATGACCGGGCCCCCACACATGAAAAAGAATTCTGGGAACTCAAAAAGCCAGTGTGTCCCCACCATGGACCCCTTGGATTGTGTTTCAAATTTCTCCTCAATTTCGAAGAGCGTCCTGGCCATCCAGATTCTGAATTCTATAACCCTCGTTTCATTCATCTCAATGTAGCTAAGAACCAGATTTCTGGGGAACTATCGAGTTGCCAGAGTTCTTGTGTTGATTCTTTTTTTTTTTTCTTTTTTTTTTCTTTTTTGTGGCAGAGTCTTACTCTGTCGCCCAGGCTGGAGTGCAGTGGCACGATCTCAGCTCACTGCTGCAACCTTCACCTCCCGGGTTCAAGCGATTCTCCTGTCTCAGCCTCCTGAGTAGCTGGGATTACAGGTGTGTGCCACCACGCCCGGCTAATTTTTGTATGTTTAGTAGAGCCCGGGTTTTGTCACGTTGGTCAGGCTGGTCTCAAACTCTTGACCTCCGGTGATCTGCCCACTTCAGCCTCCCAAAGTGCTGGGATTACAGGTGTGAGCCACCGCGCCCGGCCTTGGTGTTGATTCTTTCTCTTGTGTGAGGGCTGGTGTTCCTTTAACTGTGATGTCGGTTGAGTACAGTCGCTTGGCTTCATTTCTGGGTGTTTTCAGATGCCAGGACTCTGCACAGGATCTTTATTTGTGGCTGAATTTTTCCCTTCATTGTATACTGGCAAAATTTTTCAGTGTTGTATTTTGAAGTGTGATCCAGTAGGTGGCACTTAAAAGGGTTGGCCAGCATACAGGATCTTAGCCACAAGGCTCTTTTGTAGTTTTGTTTCGTTTTTTGTTTCGTTTTTTGACACAGGGTCTTGTTCTGTCGCCCAGGCTGGAGCACAGTGGCACAATCTCGGCTCACTGCAGCCTCTACCTATCAGGCTAAGTGATCCTCCTGCCTCAGCCTCCTGAGTAGCTGGGACTACAAGCACGCAGCACCATAAAGAGAAAATTTTTGTAATTTTTTTTTTTTTTTTGTAGAGATGGGGTTTCACCATGTTTACCAGGCTGGTCTCAAACTCCTGGGCTCAAGCAATCTGCCTGCCTTGGCCCCCTAACTCTTGTATTTTGACAAAGTCGGCAGTAGTGCTCTGTGGTTGTGAGGAGGGGTGACTCCCTCGCCTGGTCCATTCTTGGGCCTTGGAGGAGCCTCCTACAGTCACTGGCTCTGCACCCACTGTTTCCTTTGTTAGGATTGTTCTGCCCACGGGGCTCCCTCAGGCAGGGCATGGTGGGCAGACAGGCTGTATCCTTCCCCGGCCAGCCCTATGGAGGGAGGACCACCCCGCACCTCTGCAGGCTGATGAAATCAGGTGTTTCACCCCTCTGAACGTTCTGAGAATGAGGGCTCCTCACGGCTTGGTCGCCACCTAACGTGGTGAGTCCTTCTCAGCAAGGGTGATTGGAGCCACATGATCTGCCATCTCAGTGCTTCCCAGGGGAACACAGAGCTACTGGGCATGGTGGCTCACACGTGTAATCCCAGTACTTTAGGAGGCCGAGATGGGCAGATTGCGAAGTCAGGAGACTGAGACCATCCTGGATAACATGGTGAAACCCCGTCTCTACTAAAAATACAAAAAAAAATTAGCCAGGCGTGGTGGCGGGCGCCTGTAGTCCCAGCTACTCGGGAGGCTGAGGCAGAAGAATGGTGTGAACCCGGGAGGCGGAGCTTGCAGTGAGCCAAGATCACACCACTGCACTCCAGCCTGGGCAACAGAGTGAGACTTCATCTCAACAAAAAAAGAAAAGAAAAGAAAAACACAGAGCTGCACACCCCACAGAGTTCAGGCAGAAGGGGGTCTGCAGCGCTGGAAGACCCAGCAAGCCTGGCCCGTCTGGCTGCAAGTGGCAGGGGTGGGTGGAGTCACCCACTTCACCATCTGGGTGCTTTCCAGGGAAGCATGCAGCCACGACCCCGGGCAGAGTTCAGGCAGAAGCTGGGCCACTATGCTGGAAACTGGCCTTGAGCCTTGTGGAGTAACGGCAGGTGGAGCCATCTCACTGCTCCCACGCACCATGCCCGTGGCCTCTGCGGGGGCTGTGGTAACGGCACCCGACTGCTCTGGGGTCAATGCCTGCGGAGGTCCCCCTGGCTTCAGTGTTGCCTCTGCAAAAACCCCAGTTGCAGCCAGGTGCGGTGGCTCACGCTTGTAATCCCAGCACTTTGGGAGGCCGAGGCAGGTGGATCACTTGAAGTCAGGAGTTCAAGACCAGCCTGGCCAACATGGTGAAACCCCGTTTCTACTAAAAATACAAAAATTATCCAGGCATGGTGGTGGGCACCTGTAATCCCAGCTACTCGGAAGGCTGAGGCAGCAGAATTGCTTGAACCCGGGAGGCGGAGGAGCTGAGATTGCACCACTGCACTGCAGCCTGGGCGACAAAACAAGACTCTGTCTCGAAAAATAATAACAATAAAAAATAAAGATGGCAACCATAGACACTGGAGACTACTAGATGGGGGGGAAGAAAGGGGGTTGAAAAACTGCCTATTGGGTACTATGCTCAGTACCTGGGTGACAGGATCAATCGTACTCCAAACCTCAGCATCACAAATTATTTAAATTTTTCTCTTTTTTTAATTTTTTTGTTGTTGTTGTTGAGACGAAGTCTCACTCTGTTGCCCAGGCTGGAGTGCAGTGGTGTGATCTCGGCTCACTGCAAGCTCTGCCTCCCAGGTTCACGCCATTCTCCTGCCCCAATCTCCCGAGTAGCTGGGACTACACGCGCCCGCCACCACGTCCTGCTAATTTTTTGTATTTTCAGTAGACACGGGGTTTCACCGTGTTAGCCAGGATGGTCTTGATATCGTCACCTTGTGATCCACCCGCCTCGGCCTCCCAAAGTGCTGGGAATACAGGCGTGAGCTACCGCACCCGGCCTAAATTTTTTTTTAAATAAAGAATGGTAGGTTCTTCACACCCTAATGTATTTTTACTTCTCCCACAGAGAAGGAAAGGAATGGCTTCCCCATGGCAAGCCACCTCAGTCTGGGCTTTCTTTTCTTCCAGGGGACTTTCCCATGCCTTTCATATCTGCCAAATCGAGTCCTGTGATTCCCTTGGATGGATCTGTGAAAATCCAGTGCCAGGCCATTCGTGAAGCTTACCTGACCCAGCTGATGATCATAAAAAACTCCACGTACCGAGAGATAGGCAGAAGACTGAAGTTTTGGAATGAGACTGATCCTGAGTTCGTCATTGACCACATGGACGCAAACAAGGCAGGGCGCTATCAGTGCCAATATAGGATAGGGCACTACAGGTTCCGGTACAGTGACACCCTGGAGCTGGTAGTGACAGGTAAGGAAACATCCAGGGTCCACAGCCCTGGTGTGATTTTTTTCTTATTTTTAATAGAGTATTTTTCAAGAAGTTTTAGATTTACAAACAAAAAAAAATTGATGATTGCTTCAGAGAGTTCTCAGCCATCTGGCACCCCACTTCCCCCAGAGTTAACATCTTACATTAGTATGGCACATTTCTTACCATTAATGAACAAATATCGACACATTCCCAGCTACAGTCTACAGTTTATTTACATTTTCTTAGTTTTTACCTGATAGTCTTTCTCTGTTCCAGGATCCCATTCAAGATTTCACATTGCGGCTGGGAGTGGTGGCTCACGCCTGTAATCCCAACACTTAGGGAAGCCGAGGCGGGTGGATCACCCAAGGTCAGGAGTTCGAGACCAGCCTGGCCAACATGGTGAATTCCCCGTCTCTACTGAAAATGCAACAATCGCTGGGCGCGGTGGCTCACGCCTGTAATCCCAACACTTTGGGTGGCTGAGGTGGGTGGATCACCTGAGGTCAGGAGTTCGAGACCAGCCTGGCCAACACAGTGAAACCTCGTCTCTACTAAAAATGGAAAAAATTGGCCAGGCCTGGTGGCACACGCCTGTAATCCCAGCTACTTGGGAGGCTGAGGCAGGAGAATCGCTTGAACCCAGGAGGCAGAGGTTGCAGTGAGCCAAGATCACACCACTGCACTCCAGGCTGGGCGACAGGGCGAGACTCCATCTCACACACACACACACAAAAAGATTTCACATTGCATTCAGGTGTCATGTATCTTTATTTTTTTTTTTTTTTTTTTTTTTGAGATGGAGTCCCGCTGTGTTGCCCAGGCTGGAGTGCAGTGGCACAATCTCGGCTCACTGCAAGCTCCAACCTCCCGGGTTCACGCCATTCTCCTGCCTCAGCCTCCCGAGTAGCTGGGACTACAGGCGCCCGCCACCACGCCTGGCTAATTTTTTGTATTTTTAGTAGAGATAGGGTTTCACTGTGTTAGCCAGGATGGTCTCAATCTTCTGACCTCGTGATCCGCCCGCCTGGCCTCCCAAAGTGCTGGGATTACTGGCGTGAGCCACCACGCCCGGCCCCCGAAAATGCTGGGATTACAGGCATGAGCCACCGCACCTGGCCTCCCAAAGTGCTGGGATTCCAGGCGTGAGCCACCGTGCCCGGCAGGTGTCATGTATCTTTAGGTTTGTCTTGGCTGTCACAGCTTCTCAGATGTTGCTGGTTTTCCATGACCTTGTCAGTTTTGAGGGTAGTGGTCCATTATTTTCAAGGGTACTCCCACTACTGGAAATTGTCCGATGTTTTGCTCATGACTAGACTGAGTTATGGGTCATTGCAGGCAAGACCACAGAAGCAAAGTGCCATTTCATCTCCTCATAGCAAAGGTTTAAACTGTCCATGGGAACATGACTGTGGATGTTGAGCTGGCTGTTGTTGAAAGCCTGGCTGAAGTAGTAACTGTGGCCAGACACCGTGGCTCGTGCCTGTAATCCCAGCACTTTGGGAGGCTGGGCGCCGTGGCTCACGCCTGTAATCCCAGCACTTTGAGAAGCCGAGATGGGCAGATCACTTAAGCCCAGGAGACCAGCCTGGGCAACATAGTAAGACCCCATCTGTACAAAAAATCAAAAAATTAGCTGGGCATGGTGGCACCCACCTGTAGTCTCAGTTACTTGAGAGGCTGAGATGGTAGGATCACCTGAGCCTGGGAGGTCGAGGCTGCAGTGAGCCGTGATTATGCCACTGCCCTCAGCCTGGGCGACAGAGTGAGACCCTCTCTAAAATAAATAAATTCTAAAAAAGAAAAAAGAGGCTGGGCACTGTGGTTCACGCCTGTAATCCCAGCACTTTGGGAGGCTGAGGCAGGTGGATCACCTGAGGTCAGGGATTCAAGACCAGCCTGACCAACATGGAGAAACCTCATCTTTACTAAAAATACAAAAATTAGCTGGGCGTGGTGGCGGGTGCCTGTAATCCCAGCTACTCGGGAGGCTGAGGCAGGAGACTCACTTGAACCTCGGAGGTGGAGGTTGCAGTGAGCTGAGATCGTGCCACTGCACTGCAGCCTCAGTGACAGAGTGAGACTCCATCTCAAAAAACAATAATAGGCTGGGCACAGTTGCTCATGCCTGTAATCCCAGCACTTTGGGAGGCCAAGGTGGGCAAATCACCTGAGGTCAGGAGTTCGAGACCAGCCTGACCAACATGGAGAGACCCCGTCTCTACTAAAAATACAAAAATTAGCTGGGCGTGGTGGTACGCACCTGTAATCCCAGTTTCTCGGGAGGCTGAGGCAGGAGAATTGCTTGAACCCGGGAGACGGAGGTTGCAGTGAGCTGAGATCACGCCACTGCACTCCAGCTTGGGCAATAAGAGCGAAACTCCATCTCAAAAAAATATATAATAATAACAATAATAAGAAGAAGAAAAGAATAAAGGAGAAAAGGTCTTTCTAATAGCTCACTCTTTTCTCTCTTAGGCTTGTATGGCAAACCCTTCCTCTCTGCAGATCGGGGTCTGGTGTTGATGCCAGGAGAGAATATTTCCCTCACGTGCAGCTCAGCACACATCCCATTTGATAGATTTTCACTGGCCAAGGAGGGAGAACTTTCTCTGCCACAGCACCAAAGTGGGGAACACCCGGCCAACTTCTCTTTGGGTCCTGTGGACCTCAATGTCTCAGGGATCTACAGGTGCTACGGTTGGTACAACAGGAGCCCCTACCTGTGGTCCTTCCCCAGTAATGCCTTGGAGCTTGTGGTCACAGGTAGGTACCGCCCAGTCCAGCCCTGTGTCTGGGTTGGCTGTCCAGGGCCTTGCCACCGGGCAGGAATATGAAGACGTGCACTGAGAGTGAAGTGAAGAGAGGCAAAGGCTCTCACTCCAGGACAGTGGAGAGAGAAAGGCTTCCCCACCACACTTTCCGCTTTCACTTCCTCGCTAGAGTTCTCCAGACAGGGTTCATTGAAAACTTAGTCTGTGGAGAACAGAAGGGCTAACTCAGTTTGTTTCATTTTATTTATTTCATTTTATTTTCCGGGATAGAGTCTTGCTCTTTCGCCAAGGCTGGAGTGCAGTGGCACGATCTCGACTCACTGCAACCTTCGCCTCCCAGGTTCAAGCAATTCTCCTGCCTCAGCCTCCTGAGTAGCTGGGACCACACAGACAGGGTTTCACCATGTTGGCCAGGCTGGTCTCGAACTCCCGACCTCAGGTGATCCACCTGCCTCGGCCTCCCAAAGTGCTGGGATTACAGGCGTGAGCCACCGCGCCTGGCCAGGCTGCACACATTCTTATTAGGATTCCACCTTGTTCTGGTGTTGTAGAGATGTGATTAGGTATTTAGTGAATTCACCAAGTGAGGAGAGAATGAAAAGAAAACACAACCTGCCTGGCCGGGCGTGGTGGCGTGAGCCTGTCGTCCCAGCTACTCAGGAGGCTGAGGCAGGAGAATCACTTGAACCCAGGAGGCAGCTGTTGCAGTGAGCCAAGATCACGCCATTGCACTCCAGCCTGGGTGACAGAACGAGACTCCACCTCAAGAAAAAAAAAAAAAACATGGTTGGGCACGATGGCTCACGCCTGTAATCTGAGCACATTGGGAGGCTGAGGCAGGTGGATCACCTGAGGTCGGGAGTTCGAGACCAGCCTGGCCAACATAGTGAAACCCCATCTCCACTAAAAATACAAAAATTAACCAGGCGTGGTGGTGGTGGGCGCCTGTAATCCCAGCTACTTGGGAGGCTGAGGCAGGAGAATCACTTGACCAGGGAGGCGGAGGTTGCAGTGAGCCGAGATCACGCCACTGCACTCCAGCCTGGGCAACAGAGTGAGACTCCATCTCAAAAAAAAAAAAAAAAAAAAACACACACAACCTGCCCATAATCACCTCCTTCCCAGTTTATAGCACTTCCCTGGGAAGCACAGTTCCTTGCCCGTGAACACAGTCTTGCTGACTGATCAGTGTGGTGCTGGCGAAGCATGAGCTCATTGAGGGGATGCTTGAGGGAGTCCCATTTTGGCAAGCGAAAAGGAAAATGAGCTCCCGTTTCAGGGCTCTGGGGTTGGGATGGAATGGAACACAACCACCAACCATTCATCTCCTTGAATTGTGTCTCCAGACTCCATCCACCAAGATTACACGACGCAGAACTTGATCCGCATGGCCGTGGCAGGACTGGTCCTCGTGGCTCTCTTGGCCATACTGGTTGAAAATTGGCACAGCCATACGGCACTGAACAAGGAAGCCTCGGCAGATGTGGCTGAACCGAGCTGGAGCCAACAGATGTGTCAGCCAGGATTGACCTTTGCACGAACACCAAGTGTCTGCAAGTAAACACCTGGAGGTGAAGGCAGAGAGGAGCCAGGACTGTGGAGTCCGACAAAGCTACTTGAAGGACACAAGAGAGAAAAGCTCACTAAGAAGCTTGAATCTACTTTTTTTTTTTTTTGAGACAGAGTCTGGCTCTGTCACCCAGGCTGGAGTGCAGTGGAGCAATCTCGGCTCATTGAACCTCTTGGGTTCAAGTGATTCTTGTGCCTCAGCCTCCCAAGTAGCTGGAATTACAGGCACATACCACTGCACCCAGCTAATTTTTGTATTTTTAGTAGAGATGGGGTTTCACTGTGTTGGCCAGGCTGGTCTCGAACTCCTGACCTCAGGTGATCCACCCACCTTGGCCTCCCAAAGTGCTGAGATTATAGGCATGAGCCACCACGCCTGGCCAGATGCATGTTCAAACCAATCAAATGGTGTTTTCTTATGCAGGACTGATCGATTTGCACCCACCTTTCTGCACATAAGTTATGGTTTTCCATCTTATCTGTCTTCTGATTTTTTATATCCTGTTTAATTTCTTCCTTCATTGTTCTTCTCTTTTTTTATTTATTTTATTTATTTTTATTTTTATTTTTATTTGAGACAGAGTCTCACTCTGTTGCCCAGGCTGGAGTGCAGTGGCACGATCTCGGCTCACTGCAACCTCTGCCTCCTGGGTTCAAGTGATTCTCCTGCCTCGGCCTCCCAAGTAGCTGGGATTGCAGGCTCCCACCATCACGCCCAGCTACTTTTACAGTATTTTTAGTAGAGACGGGGTTTCATCACATTGGCCAAGCTGGTCTCAAACTTCTGACCTCGTGATCTGCCCGCCTCGGCCTCCCAAAGTGCTGGGATTACAGATGTGAGCCACTGCGCCCAGCCTTCTTTTTATATTTTTAAATGTGTCTTCCCCAAATATAAATGGTTGGTAAGCATGCCAAATATATTCAATAACCCCCCTCCTTTATTTTTTTTTGTTGAAGTGAGGCTCTCCCTATGTTGCCTAAGCTGGTCTTGAACTCCTGGTCTCAAGCAATCCTCCTACCTCAGCCTCCTGCTGTGTTCATCTACAAATTGATAAGAGTGAAAGTCATAATCCTACAGGAGGATTACCCTATTTATTTCACAAACCCTATTTCTACCGGATTTTCATACAAGGAATACAGGCATGTGTTTCACCTCATTAATTTATTTTTTCACTTAGTTTTGATGATATTCACATATATTATCAAGTGTGCAAACATTAAATTCTTGTGTACAAAACTCAAATGGTCTTCCAAATAATTCCCCATTCTTTTTTCTTATAAACTTTCACAGCTTTACCCTTGACAGACTTTACTCAAGGAAATCTAAGTTGGTCATATGTGGCTCTTTCACTGATTGCTATTTACTTCATTGTCCAGTAGCTTATGTATGAAAATATAATTATAAAATGTAAGGGTCCTACTTCCAGTGAAACTGAAGGGACTTAGGCCCACTTTTATCCTTTACTGAGAGCTTATCTCTACTTGATAAAATTTCTACTGTATTCTTGGCTTAACTCAGGTCCTGTGATTAAAAAAAAAATGCAAAGTATTTCTAACTTTCTTTATTGACTGCTTTTCACACTTTATACAAGTTCTGGCCCATATCTTCAGTTTGTTCTGATTTTTTTCACCAGGTGTGGTGGCAGGTGCCTGTAGTCCCAGCTACTCCAGGGGCTGAGGCAGGAGAATGGCGTGAACCTGGGAGGCGGGGCTTGCAATGAGCTGAGATCACGCCACTACACTCCAGCCTGGGCCACAGAGCGAGACTCCGTCTCAAAAGTAAACAAACAAATAAATAATAAATAAATAAATAAAGGGAAAGTGCCACAATTTTGGATGAAGGGGGTTGAGGGACTTTACGTCAGGTCCAGGACTTGGATTACAGAGACACAATGGGGCTAGATTCCCAGAGATGGATAAGATTAAACTCATATAAGTCGTTTTGCTGACAGAAGGACCTTGTTTGGAAAAAGCGTTTTCAGAATAATAAAGTTCCTGAGCTCTTCAGAAAAGTATTTTATTGTCCTGTAACCACAGTAACAAGTAGCCACCAAAACTGATTTTTAACCCATCATCAATGACAACTCATCTCTGTGAAGATGCTCTTTTTTTTTTTTTTTTTTTTTGAGACGGGGTCTTGCTCTGTCACCCAGGCTGGGGAGCAGTGACGTGACCTCGGCTCCCTGCAACCTCTCTTTCCCGGGTTCAGCAATTCTCCTGCCTCAGCCTCCCCAGTAGCTGGGATTATAGGCACCTGCCACCACACGCAGATAATTTTTGTATTTTTAGTACAGACGGGTTTCGCCATGTTGGCCAAGCTGGTCACAAACTTCTGACCTCAGGGTGATCTGCCTGCCTCAGCCTCTCAAAGTGCTGGGATTACAGGAGTGAGCCACAAAGCCCGGCCACTCCATACGTTTTATATTGTTATGTTACCATCAGTCAGGCAGCTCCTTGCTTCTAAAAGTCATCCAATCAGACTCATTTCAGTAAACACCCAAGCATGAGTGACAACCAATCAAAGTAATATCTTCCCAATGACCACACTTTTCCAGATGACGTCAAGCCACAGAAGGCCCTGAAAATCCAACAATCTCTGAAGTATACATTTCCCAGGCTGAGCGCAGTGGCTCACACCTGAAATCCCAGCACTTTGGGAGGCTAAGGCAGGCAGATCACGAGGCCAGGAGTTCGAGACCAGCCTGGCCAACATGGCAAAACCCCGTCTCTACTAAAAATACAAAAATTAGCCAGGTGTGGTGGCACGCACCTGCATTACCAGCTACTGAGGAGGCTGAGGCAGGAGAATGGCTTGAACCCAGGAGGCGGAGGTTGCAGTGAGCCAAGATCGTACCACCGCACTCCAGCCTTGGTGACAGAGCAAGACTCCATCTCAACAACAACAACAAAAATGGTTGAAATAAAACTTCTATGTGTTGAACGATTCCTCTTTTAGGCATAGAGTTTCAGTTTTACAAGATGAAAATATTCTGGAGATCTGTTTCAAAACACCGTGAATACATTTAACACTGCTATACTGTACACTTACAATGGCTAAGATGGTAAATTGTATGTTATGTTTTTACTACAATTTTTTTTTTTTTTTTTCTGAGACAGAGTCTCACTCTTGTTGCCCAGGCTGGAGTGCAATGGTGCGGTCTCGGCTCACCGCAACCTCCGCCTCCTGGGCTCAAGCCATTCTCCTGCCTCAGCCTCCAGAGCAGCTGGGATTACAGGCATGCGCCACCACGCCTGGCTAATTTTATATTTTTAGAAGAGACGGGGTTTCTCCATGTTGGTCAGGCTGGTCTCGAACTCTGGACCTCAGGTGATCCACCCGCCTTGGCCTCCCAAAGTGCTGGGATCACAGGCGTGAGCCACCACGCCTGGCCTACAATTTTTTTTTAACTTTTTTTTCTGAGATGGAGTCTCGCTCTTGTCACCCAAGTTGGAGTGCAGTAGTGTGATCTCGGCTCACTGCAACCTCTGCCTCCCTGGTTCAAGGGATTCTCCTGCCTCAACCTCCCAAGTGTGGGAGATCAGTCAGAGTAGCAGAAGAAATTATAGGAATAGGAAGCAGCAAACCTTCTTGGAAGGCCAGGGAGGTTGGCATAGCTTCAGATAGTTTGGCTGAAAGCAGCCAGATTCTCTTTTCAGGAGCCAAACAGCTTAGGGCGCAGATACAAAGGAATGCGGAGTATTTTATCTAAATAGCTTGCTTAGTCATATGGTCCTAAAATCAACCTTTGATCATTCTCGGGCAAGATGGCCCTCTCCAGGGAGGTGGCGGGGGGCGGTGACCAGGTTAATTACCCACAGGTGTGTTGACTCAAAGCCTTTGTTAATTAAATCTGTGCTAAATAAATGCAAGCGTTGCCAGCTTAGAGGGGCTGCACTCTCTTTGGCTCCTAGTGCCGGCAGCCCCCTGGCCTGCTCTTTCACTGAATATTGGTGTCTGAGGACGTGTCTCATCTGTCGTACAGCTGGGATCTGCAGAACAGATCCCCCCCGCACCCAAGAAGCTGGGATTACAGGCACCCGCCGCCATGCCCAGCTCATTTTTGTATTTTTAGTAGAGACAGGGTTTCACCATGTTGGTCAGGCCGGTCTCGAACTCCCGGCCTCAGGTGATCTGCCCGCCTCAGCCTCCCAAAAGTGCTTGGATTACAGGCATGAGCCACTGCGCCTGGCCTTAGAAAACTTCTTTTTCTTTTTTTTTTTTTTTTTTTTTTGAGACAGAGTTTCACTCTGTCGCTACGCTGGTGTGATCTGGGCTCACTGCAATCTCCGCCTCCCAGGTTCAAGTGATTCCCCTGCCTCAGCCTCCCGAGTAGCTGGAACTACAGGTGCGCACCGCCACGCCCGGCTAATTTCTTGTATTTTCGTGGAGACGGGGTTTCACCATGTTGGCTAGGCTGGTCTGTTTCATGCGCGTCCGTGTGAAGAGACCACCAAACAGGCTCTGTGTGAGCAACAAGGCTGTTTATTTCACCTGGGTGCAGGCAGGCTGAGTCCGACAAGAGAGTCAGCGAAGGGGGATAGGGGTGGGGCCGTTTTATAGGATTTGGGTAGGTAAAGGAAAATTACAGTCAAAGGGGGGTTGTTCTTTGGTGGGCAGGAGTGGGGGGTCACAAGGTGCTCAGTAGGGGAGCTTTTGAGTCAGGATGAACCAGAAGAAGGAATTTCACAAGATAATGTCATCAGTTAAGGCAGGAACAGGCCATTTTCATTTCTTTCGTGGTGGAATGTCATCAGTTAAGGCAGGAACCGGCCATCTGGATGTGTACGTGCAGGTCACAGGGGATATGATGGCTTAGCTTGGGCTCAGAGGCCTGACATTCCTGTCTTCTTATATTAATAAGAAAAATAAAACGAAATAGTGGTAAAGTGTTGGGATGGCGAAAATTTTGGGGGGTGGTATGGAGAGAGAATGGGCGATGTTTCTCAGGGCTGCTTCGAGCGGGATTAGGGGCGGCGTGGGAACCTAGAGTGGGAGAGATTAAGCTGAAGGAAGATTTTGTGGTAAGGGGTGATATTGTGGGATTGTTAGAAGAAACATTTTTCATTTAGAATTACTGGTGATGGCCTGGATGCAGTTTTGTATGAATTGAAAAACTAAATGGAATAAGGAAAGGAGAAAAACAGGTATTAAAGGTCTAAGAATTGGGAGGACCTAGGACATCTAATTAGAGAGTGCCTAAGGAGGTTCAGCATAGCCTTGCCAGCAAAGATTATTTATTTACTTCAAGAGTTAAGAGTGGTGGTTTGGGGATAGCACCAGGAGATATCAGCTGTGATGGCTTGGAAAAACAGTGTAAACCAGCAGTGTAAACAAGAGCAGGGCATGTGTGAGTAGTTGAGAATGGTGAATAGGAGTATGACTAGACAGAAGATAGTAGGGATGACAAGTTTTTGGGGGCACATTCCAAGTTGGTCTGGTGTCTGGAATGAGACTGGGGCTTAATAAAAAGGAGCGTCTATACAGGAGCTCAAATGGGCTGTACCCTTTAGCATTCTGAGGACAGGCCTGAATTCTGAGAAAAGAAAGTGGTAAAAGTATTGTCCAGTCTTTTTTAAGTTGGTGGCTGAGCTTGGTGAGGTGTGTTTTTAAAAGACTATTAGTCTGTTCTACTTTTCCTGAAGACTGAGGACTGTAAGGGATATAAAGGTTTCACTGAATACCAAGAGCCTGAAAAACTGCTTGGCTGATTTGACTAATAAAGGCCGGTCTGCTATCAGACTGTATAGAGGTGGGAAGGCCAAACTGTGGAATTATGTCTGACAGAAGGGAAGAAATGACCTCGGTGGCCTTCTCAGACCCTGTGGGAAAGGCCTCTACCCATCCAGTGAAAGTGTCTACCCAGACCAAGAGGTATTTTAGTTTCCTGACTCAGGGCATGTGAGTAAAGTCAATTTGCCAGTCCTAGGCGGGGGCAAATCCCCGAGCCTGATGTGTAGGGAAGGGAGGGGACCTGAGCAATCCCTGAGGGGTAGTAGAATAGCAGATGGAACACTGAGAAGTGGTTTCCTTGAGGATAGATTTCCAGGATGGAAAGGAAATGAGAGGTTCTAAGAGATGGGCTAGCAGCTTGTAACCTACATGGAAGAGGCTATGAAATATCGACCGAATAGAATGGGCCTGTGAGGCTGGAAGGAGGTATTTTCCTTGGTCTAAGAACCATTTGCCTTGTGTGGGAAGAGATTGATGGGTGGAAGTTTCAGTGGGGGAGTAGGTGGGAGTGACTGATGAGAAGGAGAAAAACTGGCTGTGGGGGACAGAAATTGGCATGCTAGCTGCTTGTCTAGCTACCTTATCAGCATAAGCATAGATGTGAGAGACAGAAGTTGGAAAGCTAGCTGCTTGTCTAGCCACCTTGTCAGCATAGGCATTGTCTAGAGCAATGGGATCTGATGACTTTTGATGGCCTTTGCAGTGAATGACTCCAGCTTCCTCTGGGAGTAAAGCGGCCTTGAGCAGAGTTTTTATTAAGGAGGCATTAAAGATGGAGGACCCTTGTGTAGTGAGGAAACCTCTTTCAGCCCATATGACCGCATGGTGGGGCAGAATATGAAAGGCATATTTAGAGTCAGTATAAATATTGATGCATAGTCCTTTTGCATCAGTGAGGGCTTGAGTTAAGGCAACTAATTCGGCTTGCTGAGAGGTAGTGGAGGGGGCAGAGCGGTAGCCTCAATGATAGATGTGGAAGATACTATAGCATAGCCTGCCTTTGCTGGTGAGTGGCGATTAGGCCTGGTGGAACTGCCATCAATAAACTAAATGTGATTAGGGTGAGGAATAGGAAAGAAGGAAATGTGGGGAAATGGGGTGAATGTCAGGTGGATCAGAGAGATACAGTCATGGGGGTCAGGTGTGGTATCCGGAATAATGTGGGAGGCCGGATTGAAGTATGGGCCAGTAACAATGGTAATTGTGGGAGACTCAACAAAGAGTGAGTACAGCTGAAGGAGCCGGGGAGCAGAAAGTATATGCGTCAGGTGTGAGGAAGAAAATAGATTTTTGGAAGTTATGAGAACTGTAGAGAGTGAGTTGAGCATAGTTTGTGATTTTGAGGGCCTCTAAAACTATTAAAGCAGCGGCAGCCGCTGCTCACAGACGTGAGGGCTAGGCTAAAACAGTAAGATCAAGTTGTTTGGACAGAAAGGCTACAGGGTGCGGTCCTGGCTCTTGTGTAAGAGTTCTGACCACGCTAACCATGCCTAGGAAGGAAAGGAGTTGTTGTTTTGTAGAAGGTGCTGGGGTTTGAGAGATCACTAGGACACGATTGGCAGGGAGAGCACGTGTGTTTTTATGAGAATTATGCCGAGATAGGTAACAGAGGAGGAAGAAATTTGGGCTTGACTGAAGTAATGGGGGCTGTCTGTGAAGCCTTGCAGCAGTACAGCCTAGGTAATTTGCTGAGCTTGATCGGTGTCAGGGTCAGTCCAAGTGAAAGCGAAGAGAGGCTGGGATGAAGGGTGCAAAGGAACAGTAAAGAAAGCATGTTTGAGATCCAGAACAGAATAATGGGTTGTAGAGGCAGGTATTGAGGATAGGAGAGTATATGGGTTTGGCACTACGGGGTGGATAGGCAAAACAATTTGGTTGATAAGGTGCAGATCCTGAACTAATGTGTAAGCCTTGTCTGGTTTTAGGACAGGTAAAATGGGAGAATTGTAAGGGGAGTTTATAGGCTTTAAAAGGCCATGCTGTAGCAGGCTTTAATCCTTTTAAAGCATGCTGTGGGATGGGATATTGGCATTGAGCGGGGTAAGGTTGATTAGGTTTTAATGAGATGGTAAGGGGTGCATGATTGGTCACCAAGGAGGGAGTAGAGGTATCCTATACTTGTGGGTTAAGGTGGGGGGATACAAGAGGAGGACACAAAGGAGGCTTTGGATTGGGAAGAAGGGCAGCAATGAGATATAGCTGTAGTCCAGGAATAGTCAGGGAAGCAGATAATTTAGTTAAAGTGTCTCAGCCTAATAAGGGAACTGGGCAGGTGGGGATAACTAAAAAGGAGTGCTTGAAAGAGTATTGTCTAAGTTGGCACCAGAGTTGGGGAGTTTTAAGAGGTTTAGAAGCCTAGCTGTCAATACCTACAACAGTTATGGAGGCAAGAGAAACAGGCCCTTGAAAAGAAGGTAATGTGGAGTGGGTAGCCTCCATATTGATTAAGAAGGGGACGGGCTTACCTTCCACTGTGAGAGTTACCTAGACTGTCTGTGATGGTCCTGTAGGCTTCCGAGGCGATCGGGATCGGGCAGTGTCAGTCTTCAGCTGCTAAGCCGAGAAGATCTGGGAAGGAGTCAGAGAGCCTTGGGCCAGAGTTCTAGCTGCTCTGGGAGTGGCTGCCAGGTGAGTTGAACAGTCCGATTTTCAGTGGGGTCCCGCACAGATGGGATGCGGCTTAGGAGGAATCCCAGGCTGTGGACATTCCTTGGCCCAGTGGCCAGATTTCCAGTACTTGTAGCAAGCTCCTGGGGGAAGAGGTTCTGGAGGAACCCCTGGCAGCTGCGGTTCAGGCGTTTGGAGTTCTCGTGTGCTGGAGATGTGGCTGGGGTTTGTCTCATCTGGATACTGGAGTGGAGGCAAGGAATTGCAACTCAGAAATATGTTGCTATTTGGCTGCCTCTACTCTATTACTGTACACCTTGAAGGCGAGGTTAATTAAGTCTTGTTGTGGGGTTTGAGGGACAGAATTTAATTTTTGGAGCTTTATTTAATGTTGGGAGCAGATTTGGTAATAAAATGTATATTGAGAATAAGACGGCCTTTTGACTTAGGGTCTAGGGCTGTAAAGCGTCTCAGGGTTGCTGCCAAATGAGCCATGAACTGGGCTGTGTTTTTAAATTTGATGAAAAAGAGCCTAAACACTATCTGATTTGGGAGAGGTCAGATAAAGAAAAAGGAGCATTAACCTTGACTATGCCTTTAGCTTCAGCCACCTTTTTAAGAGGAAATTGCTGGGCAGTTGGGGGAGGGCTAGTCATGGAATGGAACTGTAAGCTGGACCGGGTGTGAGGAGGGGAGGTGATAAAAGGATTATAGGGTGGAGGAGCGGAGGCTGAGGAAGAATTGGGACCCAGCTCGGCCTGGCGAGGAGGGGAGATGTCAGATGGGTCTGTAGAAAAGGAAGATTAGAAAGACTCAGCGATGCTTGGGGTTGGGACTGACGGGACAGGCGGGAGGGAAAGAAGGAAGATTTGGGACGAGTTGCACTGGGCATAGAGACTAGGGAGGGACCGATGTGTAAAAGAATGCCTGGATGTCAGGCACCTCAGACCGTTTGCCCATTTTACAACAAGAATTATTTAGATCTTGTAGGATGGAAAAATTGAAAGTGCCGTTTTCTGGCTATTTGGAACCACTGTCAAGTTTGTATTGGGGTCAAGCAGCATTGCAGAAGAAAATAAGGCATTTAGGTTTTAGGTCAGGTGTGAGTTGAAGAGGTTTTAGGTTTTTAAGAACACAGGCTAAGGGAGAAGAAGGAGGAATGGAGGGTGGAAGGTTGCCCATACTGAAGGAGGCAAGCACAGAGAAAAGAGAGAGTAGAGACATGGAGGGAAGGGGTTCAGGGGTTCTTACCTTCCAGAAAAGCGGGAAAGGGGTCAGGGCACAGAAGTAAGGGATTGGGGTGCAGAGACAAGAGGTCGGGGTGTGGAAATAAGGGATCGGGGTGCAGAGATAAGACGTCAGGGCACAGAAATAAGGGATCGGGGGATTCTTGCCCCCTAGAAAAGCGGTACTTGCCACTAAGGGTGAAGGAGAAGGGGTTGGGGGGTTCTTGCCCCCCCAGAAAAGCAGAGAAGGGGTAGAGACACAGAGAAGGAGTTGGGGGTTCTTGCCCCCCCAGAAAAGCAGTACTTGCCACTAAGGGTGAAGGACCAAGGCAGGCATCCCCATGTGGTCAGACACCTCTGAAACGTGGGTGAATAATCAGAGAGGTGTCCCCGCGTGATTAAACACCAAGGGAAGGCTGCCTTCCCGAGTCCATGACCGGCGCTGGAGTTTTGGGTCCACGAATAAAGCGCGTCTCCTGTCTCTACCAGAAAAGGAAAGGAACTGAAATTAAGAGAAGGGAGAGATTGAAGAGTGGAAAGGAGAAAGTGGTTGAGGGATAGTGAGAGAGGTTGGAGAAGAGAGTAAAAAGAGGCTGCTTACTGGATTTAAAATTGGTGAGATGTTCCTTGGGCTGGTTGGTCTGAGGACGAGAGGTCGTAGGTGGATCTTTCTCATGGAGCAAAGAGCAGGAGGACAGGGGATTGATCTCCTAAGGAAGATCCCCTGATTCGAGTTATGGCACCAAATTTCACTCACGTCCGTGTGAAGAGACCACCAAACAGGATTTGTGTGAGCAACAAGGCTGTTTATTTCACCTGGGTGCAGGCGGGCTGAGTCCAGAAAGAGAGTCAGCAAAGGGAGATAGGAGTGCGGCCGTTTTATAGGATTTGGGTAGGTAAAGGAAAATTACAGTCAAAAGGGGGTTGTTCTCTGGCGGGCAGGAGTGGGGTTCACAAGGTGCTCAGTAGGGGAGCTTTTGAGCCGGGATGAGCCAGGAGAAGGAATTTCATAAGATAATGTCATCACTTAAGGCAAGAACAGGCCATTTTCATTTCTTTCGTGGTGGAATGTCATCAGTTAAGGCAGGAACCGGCCATCTGGATGTGTACATACAGGCCACAGGGGGATATGATGGCTTAGCTTGGGCTCAGAGGCCTGACAGTCTGGATCACCTGACCTGGTGATCCGCACACCTCGGCCTCCCAAAGTGCTGGGATTACAGGCATGACCCACTGCACCTGGCCTTAGAAAACTTCTTAAATATTAAAATGTATGTTATGTGTATTTTGCCACAATTTTTGAAAAGTACCTTCTGGTGTTTAGAGACAGAAGATGAGTGGTTGCCTAGGGCCGGGAGAGTGAGGGGATCGTGGTGATGGGCAGCTGGTCGGCATGGGGTTCTGAAGGGCAGTGATGACAACATTCTAAAATTAGACTGTGTTGACGGTTGCACCAACTCCGTGAATACCACAAAATTTAAACCATTGAATTATGCACTTTTAATGGGTAATTGTATGGCATGTAAATTATATCTCAATAAAGTTATATTTTTAAATACCAAAAAAAGGCCGGGTGCGGTGGCTCACGCCTGTAATCCCAGCACTTTGGGAGGCCGAGAAGGGCGGATCACGAGGTCAGGAGATGGAGACCATCCTGGCTAACATGGTGAAACCCCATCTCTACTTTGAAAAAAAAAAAAAAAGATTACCCGGACGTGGTGGTGGGCACCTGTAGTCCTAGCTACTCAGGAGGCTGAGGCAGGAGAATGGCATAAACTCGGGAGGCAGAGCTTGCAGTGAGTCGAGATTGCGCCACTCAGGAGGCTGAGGCAAGAGAATGGCATAAACCCCGGAGGCAGAGCTTGCAGAGAGCCGAGATTGCGCCACTGCACTCCAGCATGGGTGACAGAGCGAGAGTCCATCTCAAAAAAAAAAAAAAAAAAAAAAAAGATTAGTAATATCCTCTGTGTCACTTACCACTTAAGTGATTGAATCACGACTTGAAATTCATCATCTCAAACATGGCTTAGAGTCTGTAGAGGGGGGACAGTCCCAGGAATGCTGGTGTGGGCTTAAGGCTGAATTAAATAGATCCAGATGGCTCACACCTGTAATCCCAATACCTTGGGAGGCCGAGGCAGGTGGGAGGCTGAGGCAGGCGGATCACTGGAGCTCCTGGAGCGAAGAAAGGATGCTAGTGGAAAAACTGGTGAAATCAGAATAAAGTCTATAGTTTTATTTTTTAAAGGAGGCTGGGCGTGGTGGCTCATGCCTCTAATCCCAGCACTTTGGGAGGCTGAGGCAGGTGGATCAGTTGAGTTCAGGAGTTCAAAACCAGCCTGGCCAACTTGACGAAACCCCATCTCTACTAGAAATACAAAAATTAGCTGGGCGTGGTTGTGGGTGCCTCTAATCCCAGCTACTCAGGAAGCTGAGGCAAGAGAATTGCTTGAACCCAGGAGGCGGAGGTTGCAGTGAGCTGAGATCACACCATTGCACTCCAGCCTGGGCTACAGAGCAAGATTCCATCTCCAAATAAGAGAGACATGACAATTAAATAAATTGTGTAATCTTGGATTAAATCCTAAACCAAATATATGTCACTGGTAAAACAAGTGGTGAAATTTGAATAAAGTGGATAGATCAGACAATAGTGTCATATCAGTGCTATTTCTTGACCTTGAACATTAATAACAGAATGTCCTTGGTTTTGGGAAATATAACCTGAAGTGATTAGAGGTTTAGGGCATCATATGCAAATTAGACACACTTTCTTCGGGGAGAGAGGGAGAGGGAGAGAGGCTGAATGATGAAGCAAATGTGGTAAAATGCTAACTTTGGGGAAATCTGGATGAAGAAATTACAGATTTTTTTTTTTTTTATAGACAGGGTAACACTCTGTCACCCAGGCTAGAGTGCAGTGGCACGATCATGGCTCACTGCAGCTTCTACCTCCCTGGGCTCAGATGACCCTCTCACCTCAGCCTCCCAAGTAGCTGGGACTATAGGCGCACAGCACCACACCTGGCTAATTTTTGCATTTTTTTTTCCCCCAGGCTCGTCTCAAGCAATCCACCCACCTCGGCCTCCCAAAGTGCTGGGATTACAGGTGTGAGCCACTGCACCTGGCCAGAAATTCTTTAAACTATTTTTGCAAGTCTGGAATTATGTCAAAATTAAAAGCTCAAAATAATAAAAGACAATATTCTTATATTTCTTTGGTGAAGGTAACTATGTTATGGCTGAGAGGGTGGCTGAGGTCTGAGGATCCAGCCTACATAAGTCTCCTCCATAGAGGGCATCCAAGCGCTCCGTAGGGGGAAGGATAAAGAAAACACCCAGAGTTATGACAGCTGTGTAAGGGGAAACGCCAGCACCGAGTACTGAATCTTCAGTAAATAAGAAGGAGGCGGGCTGGGTGTGGTGGCTCACGCCTGTAATCCCAGCACTTTGGGAGGCTAAAGTGGGCTGATCACTTGAGGTCAAGAGTTCGAGACTAGCCTGGCCAACATGGGGAAACCCTGTCTCTACTAAAAATACAAAAATTAGTCGAGTGTGGTGGCACACGCCTGTAATCCCAGCTACTTGGGAGGCTAGAACAGGAGAATTGCTTGAACCCAGGAGGTGAAGGTTGCAGTGAGCTGAGATTGCACCACTGCACCCCAGCTTGAGGGACAGAGTGAGATTCCGTCTTAAAGAGAAAAAAAAAAGAATTAGCACATTTGTTTGCCTCAAGAAGATACAACTAGTCTTGTACAGTAGTCACATGTATCCACCAGGATATATTCCAAGGCCCCAGTGGATGCTGAAAACTACATAGTACCTTACATGTATATATATATGTATATACATATATACACATATACGTATATGTATACATACATGTATATATACATGTATGTATATACATATATGCATATATACATACATGTATATATACATGTATGTATATACATATATGTATATGTATGTATACACGCATACATGTATGTATACACGCATACATGTATGTATATACATATATGTATGTATACACGGATACATGTATGTATATACATATATGTATGTATACACGCATACATGTGTGTATACATATATATGCATGTATGCATGTGTGTATATATACATATATGTGTATATATACGCATATACATGTATGTGTATATATGCATGTGTATATATACATGTACGGTACTATGCAGTATATATACACATATATGTATATATGTATACATATATGTATAAATGTATATATGTGTATATATATAAAAGGTATATATGTATATATGTGTGTATATATAAAATGCATGAATTTCTTTTTTCTTACTGTAGATCTTAACAACTTCTGCATAGAATTTTTTTTTATTAAGTGGAGAGTTAGTTACTTACTTAAAAGAAATGTTTCTTGGCTGGGTGTGGTGGCTCACACCTGTAATCCCAGCACTTTGAGAGGCCGAGGCAGGAAGATTCACTTGAGGTGAGGAGTTGGAGACCATCCTGGCCAACGTGGTAAAAACCGGTCTCTACTAAAAGTACAAAAATGAGCTGGGCGTGGTGTTGGGTGTCTGTAGTCCCAGCTACTCAGGTGGCTGAGGCAGGAGAATTGCTTGAACCCACAAGGCAGAGGTTGCAGTGAGCTGAGATCACACCACTGCACCACAGCCTGGGCAACAGAGCAAGACTCTGTCTCAAAAAAAAAAAAAAAAAAGAAAGAAAAAGAAAAAGAAAAGAAATGTTTCTTTTCTTATTAAGTTCTTTAAATGAAAAGCTTTTCTTTTCACTTTTATTTTATTGAAACATTATAACACTATCTTTGAAGAAGATAGTGTTATCATTCCATTCTGATGAAACCAATTAACTTATCCAAGCATATGTATACTGTACACAGAGAAGCCAACGTCAAAACCCCTATTTTTATCTTTTTAGATTCAGCAGATACATGTGCAGGTTTTTTATGAGTATATTGCATGATGCTGAGGCTTGCATTAATGATCTAGTCACCAAATAGGTAGATTTTCAAGCCTTGCTCCCCTCCTTACCCAATGTTTAGCGCTCTCACTTATAAGTGAGAACATGTGGTATTTGGTTTTCTTTTCTTTTTTTTTTTTTTTTTTGAGATGGAGTTTCACTCTTGTTGCCCAGGCTGGAGTACAATGGCACCATCTCGGCTCACTGCAACCTTCACCTTCCAGGTTCAAGCAATTCTCCTGCCTCAGCCTCCCGAGTAGTTGGGACTACAGGCATGTGCCACCACACCCGGCTAATTTTGAATTTTTAGTAGAGACAGGGTTTCTGCATGTTGGTCAGGCTGGTCTCGAACTCCCGACCTAAGGTGATCCACCTGCCTCAGCCTCCCAAAGTGCTGGGATGACAGGCCTGAGCCACCGTGTCTGGCCAGTATTTGGTTTTCTGTTTCTGTGTTAACTCGCTTAGGATAATGGCCTCTAGCTGCATCCATGTTGCTGCAAAGGACATAATCTTGTGATTTTTCAAGGCTGT
Organism: Homo sapiens; assembly: GCF_000001405.40. NCBI lineage: Eukaryota > Metazoa > Chordata > Mammalia > Primates > Hominidae > Homo > Homo sapiens. The sequence continues at coordinate 275,174 of NT_187675.1, forward strand.
ATAGCGTTCTGTGGTGTATACATATCACATTGTCTTTATCCAGTCCACCTCTGATGGGACCTGGGTGGATTCCATGTCTTCACTATTGTGAATCCTGCTGCAATGAACATACAAGTGCATGTGTCTTTTTGGTAGAATGATTTATTTTCCTTTGGCTATATACCCAGCGATGGGATTGCTGGGCTGAATGGTAACTCTGTTTGTAGTTCTCTGAAATATCTCCAAACCAAACTGCTTTCCACAGTGGCTGAACTAATTTACACCCACCAACAGTGTATAAGTGTCCCCTTTGCTCCACAATCTCACCAGCATCTGTTAATTTCTGGCTTTTCAGTAATGGCCATTCTGACTGGTGTGAGATGGTATTGTTGAGGGATAATTTAGGAATCAGAGAGACCGAGGGGTTGAGGAGGATTTATTATTATTATTATTATTTAGGTGCACCGGCCCCAGTCAGATTAACATCCAAAAAGACTGAGGCTCGAACAGAGAGTCCGGTTACCTTTTAAGCATTTTGTGGGGTTGGGGGAGATCTGTGCAGGGGGAAGCATATTACAGAAGCAAGAAACAAAGGCAGTTATTCAATTGAGACATGCATCACATTATTCCTTACTTTTCAAGAAAAATATGTTTTACGACTTGAGGTTATCCTGTCTAGTGACCTTGCAGCCGCACGGCAAGAGAAACAGGGTCTTCACAATGCCTGGGAAAGGGAGAGATAAGGCTCACTAGCCACAGACAGAAAAACAGGCAGTTCATGTTTAAAGGACTCCACCTCTTTCTCTTCCTCGGGGGGAACTGGGTTTTCTTAAATACAACTGAGTTTTTGTTTACACATTCTGTAATTTCTTTTAATTCCTGTTCCAGTATCTCACTGTGAAACTCCCTATGTTTTTATACGATTCTCAGGGGGTTTCCTCTGGGCATGATTGGGCACAACTTCCCACAGTCAGCTCTGGGTACGACCTCCACATTGCAGAATTGAGAAGTTGACCCAGAAATGCATTTTGGGCTGAGCAGACAATTGTCAGAGTTGCTGGCTAGACCACAGATGTGTCAGAGGGACCACGGCCTTTCTGTAAGCTCATGGTCAGAGGCGGAGGGGAGTTGTGAACGTTCTGATGAAAGCAGTCAACGTGAAAGCGCTCTGGTGATGGGCGCTGGTGCTCACCCACCACTTCCTGTGTATCTATCTCCCTGGCCCGCCCGGCTCAGTCCCCACTGCTCAGCACTAGGCCGGCAGAATCTGAGCGATGTCTTCCACACTCCCTGCCCTGCTCTGCGTCGGTGAGTTCTGGCGTGGAAGGGGAATGGGATCACGGTGTGCCTGGGAGGCAACAGGTCTCATTACTCCCGTCTTCCAGGGCTGTGTCTGAGTCAGAGGATCAGCGCCCAGCAGCGTGAGTCCTTCCTTCAAAGCCCAGGGTCACTCTTCCGGATTCAGGCCAAGCTCCTTCCACCCAAGCACGGCTGGGGTGAGGGGACAGGGTGCTGGCTTCCCAGGAGAGCTTGGGGCCAGCAGCTGGGTGGAGCCTAAGGTTGGGGGGAGGGGGCTCCGCTGGAACTCCAGCCTCTGATTCCCTTCCAGAGACTCTCCCAAAACCGTTCATCTGGGCCGAGCCCCATTTCATGGTTCCAAAGGAAAAGCAAGTGACCATCTGTTGCCAGGGAAATTATGGGGCTGTTGAATACCAGCTGCACTTTGAAGGAAGCCTTTTTGCCGTGGACAGACCAAAACCCCCTGAGCGGATTAACAAAGTCCAATTCTACATCCCGGACATGAACTCCCGCATGGCAGGGCAATACAGCTGCATCTATCGGGTTGGGGAGCTCTGGTCAGAGCCCAGCAACTTGCTGGATCTGGTGGTAACAGGTAACTGTCCGGTTCTCTAACTGGAGAGTGATCTCAGTCTGCATCCGGGATGCAGCATCATCTATGAACTCTTCCAAGCCCCACTCAGACACTGCTTGTCTCGGTAGGAGGCTGGAAGGAGGGGTGATCCCCATCACAATCCTTGCCTACAAGGGGTTGTCTGCAGACCGTGTCTCTACGTCCTAGGAGCAGATGTGTCCTCAGTCAGTTTCTCCATGACACAGATTCTGAGATAGATATTTGTATGCAGGGGTATGACTGAGGAATGTCCTCAAAAACAATGCCTGTGGGCCAGGCGCAGTGGCTTACACTTTGCTTCCCTCACCCATCACAGGTGGTGGGTTTTTTTTTTTTTTATCTGTTTTGAGACGGAGTTTCGCTCTTGTCACCCAGGCTGGAGTGCAGTGGTGCAATCTCCAGTCACTGCAACCTCCACCTCCTGGGTTCAAGTGATTCTCCAGCCTCAGCTTCCCAAGTAGCTGGGATCACAGGCACCCACCACTACGCCACATTTTGTATTTTTAGTAGAGATGGGGTTTCACCATGTTGGCCAGGGTGGTGTCGAACTCCTGACCTCAGATGATCCGCCCGCCTCACCCTCCCAAAGTGCTGGGATTACAGGTGTGAGCCATCACACCCAGCCAGGTGGTGGTTTTCTAAAAAAAAAAAAAAATTAGCTTTTTTTTTTTTTTAACAATATGGTTGTTTATTATTATTATCAAGTATTATACATAGTTACATATACATACATAATTGTATGTGCTATACAATTAGGTTTGTTTATACCAGCAACACCAAAAACACATGAGCAATACTTTGTGCTAGGAAGGCTATGATGTCATCAGGCAATAGGAATTTTTCAGTTTCATTATAATCTTATGGGACCACCATCATATATGTGGTACATTGTTGGCCAAAATGTCATTATGCAGCTCACAACAGTATTTCATGTCCATTCAAATATCTTCTTTTGTGAAATGTCTATTTAAATCTTTTGCCTATTTTTAAATTGGGTTGCTTATATTTTGATTGATTAGGAAAAGTTATTTCTATATTCTGTGTCATATACTTGTGTTGAAATATATATATTTTTTGTCTGTGCCTTTTCATTTGCTCAGGGTCTTTGGACCTTGTTTGGAGGTTCTGGCAGGGGAACACAGCTACTCATTTATTCTTTTTTTTTTAATTTTTTTAGTATTTATTGATCATTCTTGGGTGTTTCTCGGAGAGGGGGATTTGGCAGGGTCATAGGACAATAGTGGAGAGAAGGTCAGCAGATAAACATGTGAACAAAGGTCTCTGGCTTTCCTAGGCAGAGGTCCCTGCGGCCTTCCGCAGTGTTTGTGTCCCTGGGTACTTGAGATTAGGGAGTGGTGATGACTCTTAAGGAGCATGCTGCCTTCAAGCATCTGTTTAACAAAGCACATCTTGCACCGCCCTTAATCCATTTAACCCTGAGTGGACACAGCACATGTTTCAGAGAGCACGGGGTTGGGGGTAAGGTCATAGATTAACAGCATCCCAAAGCAGAAGAATTTGTCTTAGTACAGAACAAAATGGAGTCTCCTATGTCTACTTCTTTCTACACAGACACAGTAACAATCTGATCTCTCTTTCTTTTCCCCACATTTCCCCTTTTTCTATTCGACAAAACCGCCATCGTCATCATGGCCCGTTCTCAATGAGCTGTTGGGTACACCTCCCAGACGGGGTGGCGGCCGGGCAGAGGGGCTCCTCACTTCCCAGACGGGGCGGCCGGGCAGAGGCGCCCCCCCACCTCCCAGACGGGGCAGTGGCCGGGCGGGGGCTGCCCCCCAACCTCCCGGACGGGGCGGCTGGCCGGGGCTTTTTTTTTTTTTTTTGAGACAGTCTCGCTGCAGTGCAGTGGTACAATCTCAGCTCACTGCAACCTCTGCCTCAGCCTCAATTCTCCTGCCTCAGCCTCCCAAGTAGTTGAGATTACAGGCATGTGCCACCACACCCGGCTAATTTTTGCATTTTTAGTAGAGACGGGGTTTCACCATGTTGACCAGGCTGGTCTCAAACTCCTGACCCAGGAGGTCGAGGCTTCAGTAAGCAAAGATAGTGCCACGGCGCTCCAGCCTGGGAAACAGAGCAAGACCCTGTATCATTTTTAAAAATGGTTTTAGACGGTAAATCTTCTATTGTGTGTATTTGACCAAAATAATAATTAAAAAAAAAAAAAAAAGCTGGCTGCCAGGCATGGTGGCAGGCCCCTGTAGTCCCAGCTACTTGGGAGGGTGAGGCAGGAGAAACGCTTGAACCCGGGAGGCGGAGGTTGCAGTGAGCCAAGATCGTGTCACTGCACTCCAGCCTGGGCGACAGAGAGAGACTCCATCTCTAAAGAAAGAAAAAAAAAAATAGCTGGCTGCTCATCACTGAGTTTCTGGTGTGGTGGCCCCACCTTCTCTCATAGAAATGTATGACACACCCACCCTCTCGGTTCATCCTGGACCCGAAGTGATCTCGGGAGAGAAGGTGACCTTCTACTGCCGTCTAGACACTGCAACAAGCATGTTCTTACTGCTCAAGGAGGGAAGATCCAGCCACGTACAGCGCGGATACGGGAAGGTCCAGGCGGAGTTCCCCCTGGGCCCTGTGACCACAGCCCACAGAGGGACATACCGATGTTTTGGCTCCTATAACAACCATGCCTGGTCTTTCCCCAGTGAGCCAGTGAAGCTCCTGGTCACAGGTGAGGAAATGCTCAATTCCCCACACCCTTCGCCGCCATGTGCTACCTGGAGCCCTGAGGGATCCCCAGAGAGTGATGGGGAGGGTGTCCAAGGGACGTCCACTTCCTGGGTGCCTGGTTGGTCATGTGAGGAAGAACACCAGAAGCAGGAAGGAGGAGGGAACAGAGAAAGGAATGGTAAGGCGGGTGGATCACAAGGTCAGGAGTTCGAGACCAGCCTGGCCAAGACGGTGAAACCCCGTCTCTACTAAAAATACAGAAATTAGCCAGACGCAGTGGCGGACACCTGTAGTCCCAGCTACTCAGGAGGCTGAGGCAGGAGAATCGCTTGAACCCGGGAGGCGGGGGTTGTAGTGAACCGAGATCATACCACCGCACTGCAACCTGGGCGACAGAGCAAGACTCCATCTCAAAAAAAAAAAAAAAAAAAAAAGAATGGCAAGACCGGAGGAAACCAAAAACCCTTACTTTTTTTTCTTTATCTCCTTTTCCAGGCGACATTGAGAACACCAGCCTTGCACCTGAAGACCCCACCTTTCCTGGTGAGTAACTGGTCCTTCTAAGCTCAGACGAGCGATCAGAGCCTCCCAGTGACACTAAAAACGTGGCATTCATTCAAAATATTCATCGAGGCCAGGCGTGGTGGCTCACGCCTGTAATCCCAGCACTTTGGGAGGCCGAGATGGTGCATCATTTGAGGTCAGGAGTTTGAGACCAGCCTGGCCAACATGGCGAAACCCTGTCTCTACTAAAAATACAAAACTTAGGCTGGGCATCATGGCTCACACCTGTAATCCCAACACTTCGGGAGGCCAAGGTGGTTGGATCACAAGGTCAGGAATTCGAGACCAGCCTGACCAACATGGTGAAACCCCATCTCTACTAAAAATACAAAAATTAGCCGGGCCTGGTGGTGCTCGCCTGTAATCCCAGCTACTCAGGAGGCTGAGGCAGGAGAATTGTTGAACCTGGGATGCAGAGGTTGCAGTGAGCTGAGATCGCGCCACTGCATTCCACTCCACTGCACGACACAGCGAGACTCCATCTCACAGAAAAACAAAAACAAAACTATTATATATATATATTCATCAAGTGCATAGTATACACAGTGAACTACACTGTAACAGTCAGCCAGGCAGATATCTTGACTGTGCAGCACTTAGATTCTAGCAGGAGGAGACACACCATCGGTCAACGTCAGGATAGCACACAGGAGGGAATGATGCTATGGAAGGAAAAGACAAAGTAGAACAGACTTACAGTGATTGAAATGGCAGCTAGCAATATTAAATAGGTTTGTCCAGATGGACCTCACAGAGAAAGAAGGCATCTGAGCAAATGCGTTCAGACTTGAGTTAATCATGTGGCTGTCAGGAGAAAGGAGGCTCTGGAGAGAATGAAATGGCATCTGCCTGTGCCCTGGGGCAGGAAGATAACTGGGGTAATACAATAATAACTATGAGGCCAGGAGGGTTGAAAATGATGTTTGGAAGATGACGGTGGGATGGGCCTGGGGCGCACGGCTAGGATTACAGGAGTGAGGCCCGGCGCGGTGGCTCACGCCTGTAATCCCAGCACTTTGGGAAACCGAGGCAGGTGGATCATGAGGTCAGGAGATCAAGACCATCCTGGCTAACACGGTGAAACCCTGTCTCTACTAAAAAAAAATACAAAAATTATCCGGGCGTGGTGGCGGGCGCCTGTAGTCCCAGCTACGCAAGAGGCTGAGGCAGGAGAATGGCGTGAACCCGGGAGACGGAGCTTGCAGTGAGCTGAGATCGCGCCACTGCACTCCAGCCTGGGCGACAGAGTGAGACTCCGTCTCAAAAAAAAAGAAAAAGAAAAAGAAAAAGAAAAAAAAATAGTGAGACTTTGAATTTCACTATGTGTGAGGAGAAAGAGGTAATGATGACTTAATGAGGAAAATGAGGCTTAAATAGAAGACGGGCTGGGCCGGGTGGCTCCTGCATGTAATCCCAGCACTTTGGAAGGCAGGGGCGGCTGGATCACTTGAGGTCAGGAGTTCAAGACCAGCCTGGCCAACACAGTGAAACCCCATCTCTACTAAAAATACAAACATGAGTTGGGTGTGGTGGCGCACGCCAGTAATTACAGCTACTCGGGGCTGAAGCAAGAGGATTGCTTGAACTCGGGAGGCGGAGGTTGCAGTGAGCTGAGATCACACCACTGTACTCCAGCCTCAGAGGCCTGCCATCCCAGCCCTTTGGGAGGCCGAAGCAGGCAGGTCATCTGAGGTTGGGAGTTCAAGACCAGCCTGGCCAACATGGCAAAACCCCGTTTCTACTAAAAATATGAAAAAAATTACCTGGGTATGTGGTGTGTGCCTGTAGTCCCAGCTACTCCAGAGGCTGGAACACAGTGAGACTCTATCTCAAAAAAAAAAAAAATAGAAGACATGACTGGTGCAAAGACACATGCTCACAAGTGCTAGAATGGAATTC